>NC_000006.12:100070790-100222305 GCF_000001405.40 Homo sapiens
AAGGGATCCAGTTTCAGCTTTCTACATATGGCTAGCCAGTTTTCCCAGCACCATTTATTAAATAGGGAATCCTTTCCCCATTGCTTGTTTTTCTCAGGTTCGTCAAAGATCAGATAGTTGTAGATATGCGGCGTTATTTCTGAGGGCTCTGTTCTGTTCCATTGATCTATATCTTTGTTTTGGTACCAGTACCATGCTGTTTTCATTACTGTAGCCTTGTAGTATAGTTTGAAGTCAGGTAGTGTGATGCCTCCAGCTTTGTTCTTTTGGCTTAGGATTGACTTGGCGATGCGGGCTCTTTTTTGGTTCCATATGAACTTTAAAGTAGTTTTTTCCAATTCTGTGAAAAAAGGCATTGGTAGCTTGATGGGGATGGCATTGAATCTGTAAATTATCTTGGGCAGTATGGCCATTTTCACGATATTGATTCTTCCTACCCATGAGCATGGAATATTCTTCCATTTGTTTGTATCCTCTTTTATTTCATTGAGCAGTGGTTTGTAGTTCTCCTTGAAGAGGTCCTTCACATCCCTTGTAAGTTGGATTCCTAGGTATTTTATTCTCTTTGAAGCAATTGTGAATGGGAGTTCACTCATGATTTGGCTCTCTGTTTGTCTGTTATTGGTGTATAAGAATGCTTGTGATTTTTGTACATTGATTTTGTATCCTGAGACTTTGCTGAAGTTGCTTATCAGCTTAAGGAGATTTTGGGCTGAGACAATGGGATTTTCTAGATATACAATCATGTCATCTGCAAACAGGGACAATTTGACTTCCTCTTTTCCAGTTGAATACCCTTGATTTCCTTCTCCTGTGTAACTGCCCTGGCCAGAAATTCCAACACTATGTTGAATAGGAGTGGTGAGAGAGGGCATCCCTGTCTTGTGCCAGTTTTCAAAGGGAATGCTTCTAGTTTTTGCCCATTCAGTATGATATTGGCTGAATCAAATAGACGGAATAAAAAATGATAAAGGGGATATCACCACTGATCCCACAGAAATACAAACTACCATCAGAGAATACTACAAACACCTCTATGCAAATAAACTAGAAAATCTAGAAGAAATGGATAAATTCCTCGACACATACACTCTATCAAGACTAAACCAGGAAGAAGTTGAATCTCTGAATAGACCAATAACAGGATCTGAAATTGTGGCAATAATCAATAGCTTACCAACCAAAAAGAGTCCAGGACCAGATGGATTCACAGCCGAATTCTACCAGAGGTACAAGAAGGAACTGGCACCATTCCTTCTGAAACTATTCCAATCAATAGAAAAAGAGGGAATCCTCCCTAACTCATTTTATGAGGCCAGCATCATTCTGATACCAAAGCCGGGCAGAGACACAACAAAAAAAGAGAATTTTAGACCAATATCCTTGATGAACATTGATGCAAAAATCCCCAATAAAATACTGGCAAAACGAATCCAGCAGCAGATCAAAAAGCTTATCCACCATGATCAAGTGGGCTTCATCCCTGGGATGCAATGCTGGTTCAATATACACAAATCAATAAATGTAATCCAGCATATAAACAGAGCCAAAGACAAAAACCACATGATTATCTCAATAGATGCAGAAAAAGCCTTTGACAAAATTCAACAACCCTTCATGCTAAAAACTCTCAATAAATTAGGTATTGATGGGACGTATTTCAAAATAATAAGAGCTATCTATGATTTGTTAATTTTTTTGTAGGTGCCATGATTTCCTGAGTCTTTGTAATCCTTGTGTCCTTGCCTTGGTGTTTACACATTTGCATGGATAGCCACTTTTTCCAACTTTTATAGGAGATTTCCTTTGGCAAGGATAGATCTTCACTAGTTAGTCTAGCCTGTGATTCTAGATGGACTGGCAAGCAAAGCTTTCTTTCAGGTTCTCTAGATGGCTTGGATGATACATTTGCTCTGAATTTGAGCTAGGTTACAGAGTATGTTCTCAGGCTATAAGGTACTGTCATCTGAGTTTAGAAGCTGCACAGGGTTGCAGGAGGAGCCTTGAGGTTAAGTAAATTAGGATGGATGAACCAACTGCTATGCTCAGTAGAAATGTACAATTGAGGTTTTCCTCCCTCCCTGGACAGGGTCTAGGGTTGAGCTTTGAGGTTGCAGGGAATACTGATTAAGCTTTCAGATGTGGCCTATCTAGATACTACTTGTTTAGAAATTCACTGCAGGAATTTTCTCCCTCCCTGGGTAATGATTTTGGGTAGAGTATACTGCTGGCTATAGAGGCTGACCATCCAGGAATTCAAGCAATGTAGCACTTCTCACCTTTTCTGGGGTCACCAACTTGGTTTTGTGGATGAGCTATGCTGTTAGTTGGCACCTTTTATTGAGCAACACTGCTGTCAGGTACACTGTGCTTTCACCAAAATTGACACATTGCTCTCTGTGGCCTCTCTCTATTGCTTTGTTTTTTGCTTGACCCCAGGGAGTCTAGCTGTGCAGTTTTTCTGTATGTTCCCCGTTCCCCATGAGGTGAAAGCAAAGTGAGTTTCCTGGTAGGCATCTCAGAATGCTAGGGAAGCTGGATGTCCACTTACTTGGATCTCTTTTCCCACTGTAGAAACCATGGGTCCTGGAGAATCCTCTCTGTGTGGCATTGTGCCAACTTGGAGGAGGAGGAATAGTAATGTGGTTAAAGTGAGATCATTTCTCCTATCCTTTCAATGAAAGTTTTTATTTAGTTTCGTGGAACACACAGGTAATTCAGGTTGATTTTTACATGCTGAGGTTTCACCAGGTGCATTGGTCTGTGTATATTTGCTACTTGATCTTCTGTGAGAGAGAGTGAAGCCTGGGACCTCCTATTCCACCATCTTGCTGATATCACTTCTGATATTATTTCTTGTTAATGTCAAGAAATTCTATGTGAAAGAATCTTTGGTTGAGAAGGGGTGGATTATTTGTCTTGCTGTCACTTCATTTTCCTCTCTATCCAAAAGCATTGATCTTAAACTATGCCTGTATAAGATTAGCAACCTGTACAGCTTGTATGAACAGCTTAGTTCAGTGATAAATGGTCAGAAATGCTTCAGATATTTAGGATGTCTGTAAAAACCTGAGTTGAGTTTATGTTTTTATGTCAAATTTACATTCACATAAGGGATATCTTTGATAAGTTCGTCCAATTACTTAGTTTATGATATTAATGAAGGAAAAGATCTTAAAATCCACCCTGAGACTGAATGGCTGGCTGTGCTGTAAACACTGCCCCATACCTCGCCAACCAGTTCACAAATAATGACTTTGGCATAAACGGATCATCATCTGAAATACTTCATAGTGTAGAGACAAAGGACAGCATTTCAAGAAGACATCCCTAAGTTTAAATCCCAGTTCTGCTACCTACAAGCTATGTGATCTTAGTTAAGCTGAAACTCTCTGAGACTCAGTTTGCACACTTGTAAAACTGTGTAATTGTAATGCTATCTACCCCAGCTATTATTGTAGGGATTAAATTGTATGAGATAACATATACTGAGCATCTGGTATATGCCTGGCACATAACAGTCTCAATAAATGATAGCTATATTTTCACTACTACATGTGGCTTCATTTTTAATCCAAGGATCAAAATATTATTGCTAACTTGGACTCAGCCAGAGGTTCTCCCTATTAAAAAGAATGAATATTTTTGATTGGTTGACTAGTTAACTTAATCATTTAGGCTTTCCAAAAGATGAATTCATATCCCCACATCACAAATATAATTACATTATGGAGTCTCTAAATTTAATGTCAAATATATTCACTTTAGTGATTGCCTAAAGTAGTCAGGAAAGTTACTATACTTATTTTTTTGAAACTGTCCACTGTCTTTTTGATAGGAGAGCAAATAAAAATAATTAAATACATAATGACTGATGTTAAAAATGGAATGAAAATCTCTGTCTTTGATATAGTATTCTATAAAAAAATTTGTGTGTGTGATGAACAAAGAATAAAGTTATTAAAATTCAACACAAGTTATGCCAAGTGAAGTTTACATTTTGTACTTTTAGGGAAGTATTAGAACATAATCAGTGGACACAAGTCAAATGGCTAATATAAATTCTCTTAGAGAAGTAGTAAAATTTATCTTCAGAAAAGCTCATTTTGGAGGTTAATTTGCATTTGTAAATGACTCTTTTTGCTCAAGCATGATTTTCTCATTATTGAAACCACTAAGTTGTGACGAACTGGAAGGGCTGATATTTATGAAACTCCCATAGACATCGGTATGTGCTATCCCCTTAATGAGAGTAGAGCTTTTTTGGTGTGGAGGTAGAAGTTTGGCATCTAATTATTTAAAAATTAGCAAATCCTCACTAAACAGATGCTTTTCTATTTTTTTGTTGACTTGTGTGAGATGCCAAACAACTCTATTCTTTGCCTAGAAGATTAAAATTTTCAATCTGATTTTTATTGCAGGCTTAATTTTAATGTACAATCATCCATGTAAATAAATCCTAGAGACTAGTGGTGTTCAAAATAATTAAAAAGATGTAGAAGAAAATATATTCACACTTAGTACTAGAGTAATAAAATAGTAAGCCTAAGGCACTTTGTGTGGCTCTACAACCTATGTTAATTTCACCTACAGTCCACTGTGGATGACTTTTAAAGACTTGGCAGTAATAGACAAACAGATATACATATACATATATTTCAGGATGAATATAAAAATGATAAAAATAGATGGAATTCTCATACTTTCAAGTGTATTTATACCTAAATCTATCTAAATCAGAGTAGTCATAGCCTTTGTACTGAGCTTTTATGAGTGAAATTGCTGGTGTTAGAAATTTAAACAGATCCAGTAAATGGTACCCCTCTTCTCCACATGAATTTGGAACTATATAAAAGGCAGACAGAGTAGGGAATGTGAGATTAAATTTCACCTTTATTACTGATAAAGTGGTTATTGAAGTTGATTGCCTATATCTATAGGATACTGGGGTTTCCAAATGTGAATTCCAGAATTTGGCCTCCTAATCATGGCAGCACTAGACCACTAGAGAAAGAGAAGGAACTGGGCTTTGCATGCCCAGTTTTTTTCCTACAAATTCACCGATCTAATAAGGTATTCCATCCATCTATGTTTTGCTCATTGTTGTATGTCTGGCGCCTAGAACACAGCTTGGCACCAAATAGATGTATAATAAACTAATAAATGAGAAAATGATTTTAAAAGGCTAAAAGAGTAGGTACAAACCAGGTTGTGAAGGCTTAGTATCTTTTACTGTGGTTTCAGACGGTTTTCTGTAGGCAATGGGGAGCTCACTAAAGGTATGTACATAGTGGGGAATGTGGACAAGTTTGCCTTTTAGAAAGACTGCTTCAGCTGCTGTTTGGAAATTGGATCTAAGTCCAGCAAGAATATTGGAAATTAGACCAAATTAGGAGGTTATTTCAAATAGTACAATCACTGATATAAAATTTTATTATAATTTATCCACAGGTTCCCTATTTTGTCAGTAAGGAAGTAAACAACCGCTAAAACAACCCTCTAACAACAGAAGACCCTCATGAGAACACCAGGCAGCAGAAGCTTCTTTAGCAGTAAAAGATATCTGGATATTCATATTTTGTTCCATGATCTTCAACATTAAATAAATAAACTTAATATTCAAGTCTCCTTCTGCATTCCTAGAAGAGGATGTTATTCAGATATCCAATGCCCTGCAATACTGTCAGTGCAGCTCAACAAAGTCAATTCTGTTAGCATCAAGAATGCTCCTGACTGAATGAGGACAAATCCCATCTTTATTATCAATAACACTTTAGATATGGAAAAGTGATACTATTCAGGAAAATAAGGAGAGCAGAGGTTTGCTGCCATAAAAATCCCCATGCTTGTTACTCTAGCTTTTACCACCCTAATTTTGCTTCATTTCCCCTAGCCTTAACTCAGTTACATTTCTTAAATTATTGTTCAGAATCATCTGTCCTTTCCACTGTCATGTAAGCTTCATGAAAATAGACTTCACCTTTTGTTCACAGCTGTCTCAGCACCTTTAGCAGTGCCTTATAGGAGGTGTTCAGTAAATACCGTTGAATGAAAAATGAATTAAGCAAAGAGGCAGAGCAGGGTGCAGGCTGACTTAAGCTGTGACCTGAGCCATTTCCCTTAAGTTCTCTTTTTTATAATTTCCCTTTTCAATGGATATATATCCTCAGACATGGGGCAAATTGGCTACAGCAGTTTCTTACTGGCAACATTGAGGGGAAGATAGAGGTGCTTCCAGAATCACTCCCATAGGAGCAAAAAAGTTTCCTGGAGGTGCCCAGTAGACCTTGACAGGAGCCCTTCCAGTGAAGTGATTTGGGTTAAACGAATGGAAAGAGTGAATGTTAATAAGAAAAAAAAGCTAATGGAGAAAACTCTAATGATGAGTTTTGCTGAAAAACAAACCAGAAAAATTTAGCTGGGAGGAGGATTTGGAGTCAATAAGGGTGGTGGTATTTTTCTTCATTGTGAAAAAAACAGTGCATTTTTATACTACTGGAAAGAACATCAGGTAATTTTAGAAGGAAAAGCAGATAATTTCAGGAGCAAAGTCCTTGAACAGGCAAGAGAGGATACAATCCAATAAATAAATGGAAGTGGTAGTCATCCCTAACAATAAGAAGAAAGCAGAATTTATGGCTACATAAATGAATACGTACCAGATTTGCTGGTGGGAAGATGAGCTAGTCTTTTCTGATTGCTTCTACTTTCCCAGTGAAATAAAAACCAAGGTCATCAGCTGAAGTGGGGAATGGAGGAGAGGATATTGGAGACTAGAAGAAGAGAAGAAATTATTAAGTTGTTATGAGAAAGTGTGAATTTTCTAGAACTGCTGAGCAACACTGAAGTCCTGCTTTTGAAATTTTGGTCATAAATTTAAAGTATGACTAGTCAGCTAGGTGTGGTAAGCCATGGAGTAGGCAAAAAATTGGGTTAATTTGGACCTATGTTTTGAGTTTAGTATGTGTTGAAAGAAACTAAGGAAATGGTGCATGTTTGCAAAGGAGAGAGTATGGTGATGGACCATGGACTCTAAGCCAGGAAGAGCAGACGTGAGAATATGAAGGGGGTGATGGGCAGCATAAATTAGTGAGATCAATAGACTCCATGTGCCGTCAAATTAAAGAATTGTAAGTATGTTCCAGAGTAATAAGGCTGGATAGAGAGGAGAGAATTATGTAGCTGGGATCTATCATGCCCGGGCTTCTTTGTATGAGAAACAGAACACTTGCTACTAATTTTAAATATTTCCATTTTCAATTCAATAACTTATGTCTGTTAAATTTTTTAATGTAAACATTTAAACACTACTTACACAACTAACAAATTATTAATAAATCAAAATGTGTTAATTTTATAAATAAGTTTATCTTAAACATTTAGATGTGGATTTCAAACACAAATATCCTTAAATATTAGGGAAAAACATGATGTAACATATTAAATTTCTTAAGTGCTTTTACTATCTTAAACATATACACCAATTATTTCAATGATAAACATTTATTATTTCATATGCTACTTCAAAGTTACAAAATTTGGGGTTTGTTTCATCTCTTTATTATACTGTACTTCTTTCTCTACCTCTTTAAGGTGTCATTAACCACATCAGGTCCAAAACAAAAAAGGATGTTTCAGACCAGCTGAGATTTTCATTTCTGAGCTACTGAATATTTGATTCTTGGCTGGGCTAGAGAAGTGTCAAGCAGTCAAGCATTCCCAAAGCAGCAGCACAGTGGCTAACAGGGCCACAAATATTACTACTACACCTGTTAGCTTGGCTTGCCACATACCTCCGTAGCTTCAGCTGGTAAAAAAAAAACTACAATGAGCCCAGATGGAGTCAGAAAGCAAAAGCAAGTGGCATAGTGTTGGCTCCCTGCATCCCTTGTACCACAAGATGGCACCAAACCAGAGAGGCCAGATGACTAACTGTATGAGCGGTGAGCCGCTCTGTTGTAGACGAGCCAACTCTAAACTACAACCAAGCAGTTTTATAGACTTAACAGAAGCCTGCAGCTGTACCTGCAGCTGTAAGGGAGCGTCAAGATGAAAGTTGTGTGCTCAACTGAAACTAGGGAGATGGATAACAAACAGCCATGTAGCAATCTCCTGCAAGATGGGGATAAGAAACTCTTCTGGCGGCTCCTCACCAGACTTATTACCCCTTGCTCTATGAAAAATGGCACGACATACTGCCAAGACTGGTCAGACTGCAGTCTACATAACTTATGTGGAAAAATTCAAGGTCACCAAGGCATTATGGTAGAGCCATTTCCTGCAAGGACCTGGTTGTTACCTCAAACTGAAGCCTGTGGTAGTCAATGTTCAGTTGCCACTTGCATGGGACACTGTAAACCAGATCTCTCCTTGACATCTGATGATGTTTTTTCACTCCCATTGAGTATTTTTTGCAGATGTTCTTCCTCCTTCACTGTTTACTTTGTTGGTCATTTTTACTATTTCATTATTAATAGCAGGGAGATCCCAAGGATAAGGAGGTAATTTGGTGCAATGAGAATGTCTTTCAGGACATTGGGCTAATCCATTATTTGACCTCTCGTTGTTTCCTCTTCTTCTAACTAGTTATTTTGAGTGACTTCTAGATCAAATCTTTCCTTCCAGTTCTTTGCATAGTTTCTAATGTTTATGATTTTCACCTGTTTACAACATTTGTTTCTTACACAGACAGAGGCAAATGCATATTTACTGGTTGACACATATGAAATTGTCATTTTTGTAACTCAAAATGGCCAAATGTTGGTAACTTCAAGTTTTAATAATATATTTCATAGAGAAGCATATAAGTATAGAAAAAATAACATCCATAGAAAGGCCTGAAATTTATTAAAATTAAGTTAAAAAGGCAGTCATGCCCTATTCTTGCCACTTTTCTTTTTTATTGTAACTATTCTAAAAAATACACTTTATATTAACTTTTCCTTTTATGAAATTTATTATAAACTAGTTGTTTTTCATAGACTCAACTTGCTCCAAACACTAATATTTATTTTGGTATTCAAATTGTGGAAACACCTTTCAAGTTCAACTTTAAGAAGCTCCTTTGTTATTTAAGCACTTTTTTTTTTTTTTGAGACAGAGACTCGCACTGTTGCCCGGGCTGGAGTTTTGTGGTGTGATCTCGGCTCACTGCAACCTCCGCCTCCCAGGTTCAAGCAATTCTCCTTGCCTCAGCCTCCCAAGTAGCTGGGATTACAGGCACCTGCCACCACGCGCGGCTAATTTTTTTTTTCTTTTTCTTTGGTATTTTTAGTAGAGATGGGGTTTCACTATGTTGGCCAGGCTGGTCTCGAACTCCTGGCCTCGTGATCTGCCCACCTTGGCCTCCCAAAGTGCTGGGACCACAGGCGTGAGCCACCGCGCCCAGCCTATTTAAGCACTTTTAAAAAAAGTATTCTTGACTTTTCAAAACAACAATGTATTACAGACCCATCTGGATATATGCCTCATTCAAAACACAGATTCAGCCGCTGTCACACTCACCTGGTTCCTTTGGAGGGAGAATGGTATTGGAGACTAAAATCTGAGAACTAAAATGCATATCAGATTATTATAAGTGAAAACCATTAGTGGGAAAAATGCTTCTGTTGTGAAGATATTATTTAAACTTTTAAACCCTTTTTTCTATACATCAATTGTCCACTTCTTTGGTGACAATGAGATAACTTGACATTAAGATGTCTGACATCTTAATGACTGTCTGATAGTGCCCACTGATATAGCACATTACAGGATGTGACTATAAGAAATGGTGGCTGAGGTGAGATGGAGGGCGAGATCCTTGAGAGTGAGGATTTTGAGGAACTGAGCGTCCAGGGATGAATAGATAATTTGTGCAACATCATCAAGAATGATGATGAAATTAGCAGTAGAGAAGATGGTAAACCAGGAGATAAAATCTTCAGTGAGTTAAGAGGAGTGACTGAAGTTCTGTAGATGACTGTAACAAGATGGAATAGTGAGTTATATTCATATATAATGCACATCATAGGTCTTTGAGGAAGGAGGAAAAAGAGTTGATCTAAGAGAATACTTACATATCATATTACCAATATGATAGGTGAAATGATATTTGTGCTTATATTCATTTCTTTGATTAATAATGAAGCTTAAAATATGCATTTGAATTTTAATTCTTTTATAAATTGTTGGTTTATTATATTGTTGTCCATCAATTTTTTTTATTGATTCTTTTTTTTTTCCTGAGATGGAGTTTCGCTCTTTTGCCCAGGCTGGAGTGCAGTGGCACAATCTCAGCTCACTGCAACCTCCGCCTTCTGGGTTCAAGTGATTCTCCTGCCCCAGCCTCCCGAGTAGCTGGGACTTCAGGTGTGTGCCACCATGACTGGCTAATTTTTGTATTTTTAATAGAGACAGGGTTTCACCATGTTGGCCAGGCTGGTCTCAAACTTCTGACCTCAAGTGATCTGCCCACCTCAGCCTCCCAAAATACTGGGATTACAGGTGTGAGCCACCACGCCCAGACTATGTTTCTATTATTGATTCTTAAGAGCATTTTTATATATAAGGGATGTTCAACTTTATCTGCCATAGTTTCCTGGATTGTATTTGTGCATGTATGTGGGTGTATGTATGTATATAAAGGAATTTGTTACAGGAATTTGGCCCTCTGCAATTGTGGGAGCTAAGCATCTGAATCTGATGCTGGAGCTTGAAATCCACAGAGCAGGCAGTTGGGACAGGAGGATGACTTTAAGGTAGGACAGAGCAAGAACAAGATGGAACCCACAGGCAAAATCTGGAGTCACTGGGACTAACAAAAGCCTGGGTCTATTATTATTGCATTATATAGTGCCAAAACTTGGGTGAGGTAGATGTGGCTTCTAGGTTGCAAATTTAGGTAGGTCCATGCTTTCTGGTTTGCGCGAGCATGGGGCAGTACTTACACAAATCTAAGAGTTAGGGCCCCCTTAACTTTTATGTCCTAGGTGCCTGGCTTTTCTCACTCTAGTCCTGGTCCTGTCTCAGGTTTTGATGGTATCCTGCAGAAGCTAGGCACCTTTGTTATGGCCCAAGAGTCACATACACCTGGCCCAGTAGTCCGAGAAGCTGAAGGAGAAGGTGCAACAGTTGTAGGTCCAGCTGCTGCCTCCCTCATAACAACGGAGTGAACCAGCAGATAAGAGATAAAGTGTGTGAGCTACAAAATGTCTGTTGCTTCACCCCCAAATCTCATCCAAGCATCTCCCTGAAAATATATAAGAAAGGGAATTCCAGGAAGTGTAGTTTAGCCTTGCCAAGCTGACACATCACAAAGCCACCAGAGGGCAAAAATTAATTCCACTGAAATTCACCTAGTCATTCACTTAAACATCCAATAATTTTTTTGGAAATTGACTAAGTGTTTTATCTAGAATAATATATTAGAACAGGGGTCCCCAACCTTGTACCAGTCCATAGAACTGGGCCACACAGCAGGAGGTGAGCGGCGGACCCAGTGAGCAAAGCTTCATCTATATTTACAGCTGCTCTCCACCACTCATGTTAGCCTGAGCTCCGCCTTCTGTCAGATCAGCAGCAGCACTGGATTATCATAGAAGCACAAACCGTATCGTGAATTGCGCACTCAAGGGATCTAGGTTGCATGCTCCTTATGAGAATCTAATGCCTGATGATCTGTCAGGGTCTCCTATAACCCCCAGATGAGACCATCTAGCTGCAGGAAAACAAGCTCAGGATTCCCACTGATTCTATATTATGGTGAGTTCTATAATTATTTCATTATATATTACAATGTCAAACAATAGAAACAAAGTGCACAATAAATGTAATACACTTGAATCATCCCAAAACCATCCCCCACTCCACCTACGGTCCGTGGAAAAATTGTCTTCTGTGAAACCAGTCCCTGGTGCCAAAAAGGCTGGGGATCACTGTATTAGAAGGGGAACTAAAAATATTCTTTAAGTGTAATAAAATTTCTCTACTCACTAGCTATTAAGATATATCAAAAAGCTATAGTTGATATTACCACTATAGACAGAGACAGGCCAATTATTCTAGAGAAATTACAAAAAGATAACCGTGTGTATATAAAAATTTTGCCTAAAATAAGACGGGTATTTTAACTAACTGAGCAAAATAATGATTTTTTCAACAAAGGATATTGGGACAATATTTTAGCCACTGGAAAAAAAAATTAATCCCTATCTCCATCCTCATACAGAAATCAATCCCTTATGAATCACAAAATTTAAATGCAAAAAGTAACATAATAAAATTATTAGAATTGAGTATTTTTCTAGGCATGTTATGACATAAAAGCTATAAGTGTAAAATTGACTACATAAAACTTTGACTATATAAGCTACAAATTTTCACAATTAAAGAATACTATACACAAAACTGAAAGATAAGTAAAAAATTCAGGAGATTATTTTAATTAAATATGGCAGACAAAATTGACCATCCTAATATGTATTTTTAAAAATATGATCTTTAAAATCAATAATAGAAAAGAAGATGACTAAGGACATAATATACTGACAATTCACAAAAGATTAAAAATTCACATTAATATTTTAAGCTTTACTATTAACCAAAGAAACATAAAGCAATTAAATATCATTTTCACTAAGGTGGACAACAATGAAAAAGTTGATGAAACTTGGTGTTTGCAACAGTAAACAGTGTTAGCAAAGTAAATGAAGTAGATCATGCATTGTTTTGGGAGTAAACTGAAAAAGCTCTTCTGGGGGGCAGTTAAGTAATATGTATCAAAAATATAAATGAATAGTCTTTTTGTCTCAGAAACACCACACCTAATAATTTATCTTCAAGAGACAACTGCACCAATCTGTCAATATGTATACTGAAAGTTGTTTATGGAAGTTTTATTTATAATAACAAAACATTACAAACATTGTATATCCATCAACCTAAATGTACATACATCCAATATAATTCTATGCAGTCATTTAAACGTATTTTTGACATTAAACACTCATAATATATTGTGGAATGAAAATATATTGCATAATACGATCCTACATATGAAACTTGGAAACACAATTTTATATGTGCTTATGTATGCACAGAGATGGAAGGATGCATACAAACAAGCTAAAAGTGGTTGAGTGGAAAGCTGCCAAGTGATTTTTAACTTTTGTCATTTTCCTTTTTGATCTTTTTATTAAACAGTAAATAATTGTAATCTTTACAGTGAGCAAAGCAATACATTATTTTCATTTCAAGTAAAAATGCAGCTGTATTAAAATATTTTTAACTTCTTTTGGCAGATGTTCAAAGGCATAGAAACAATTTGAGGACTGGTAACATCTCTATTGGGTCATTTATGCCACTTCCTGGGTTAGTATATATTCAATTCCTATGGCTTTCAAAGAAAATATGACCTGTCATAAACACCAAATGTACAGAGGCAGGATAGATTCTCCAATATCTGCCATGAAAGAGCATCAAAAATAGATTCTGATTTGCCTGTCACTATCATGAAAAGTAAAATGGAAAGATTACTTGGTGTTTAACTTCAGACATCTGATATCAATTGGGCAGAATCCATCTTTCAGTTTAGAGTCGTTATCCCTCAGCCTGCTTTCAGGCCTAATCCCTTTTAAAAAATCTTAACAGTTTCCAGAGTTTGGTCTTTTTCCAATTTTCAGGACGTAAGCCTTTGGGAAAACTTTAGATCTAATCTTCCCTTACTGCCTTTCCCTTTCCTAAAAGAACAGAGTATTTCTTCACATGTTGGATTTTTGTGGTTATCATTTATCACTTTAGGCTTTCAACCACAAGTTCACCCATTATTTTGTAGACTTCTTAGTCTTTGTTGCAGTGTATAGGAGCATTCTTAAAATAGTTTTCTAGACTAGGACAACCTAAAAAGTAACATAAAAAGCTTTGGAATTATTAAAAATGATCCAATGATAAACTCCAGTGATGTAAATAAAAACAAAGCATTATATACGAGAGACATGGTTCTTTGAGCAATGAGTCATGTTATAAAATATTGCATTCGTGCTATATGAGAGGTGAGCTGTGTTTAGACCAAGGAAAAGTAATAGGCATACCCTGATTGATTTTAACAAGCCTTTAGATTCTCCTTCACCACCACCACCTACTCACCTCTTGGCAGTTTTGTCTATAAGCTAAAAAGATTAAGTCTGGACCTACCCACTGGTAGTGGGTGCATAACAAGCTGAAAGATTACCCATTAAGAATTGCTCCTCAGGAGCCTCTCAAGGGCTGATTTCATTTAATAGCTCTGACCTGGATAAAGAAATTGAGATTTCATCACATTTGCTCATGACACTAAATTAGCTGGGGCACATAACACCTTCTAGAATTTCCTTGATATATTTGAGAATGGCTTATAGACCATGTTGCAAAACAGTTCATTTAGGGACTAACTTAGGCCGCTCTGGGATGGAGAAAATCCACACATATGCAGCCAAGTTCTGAGAGTCTTATCAATCACCGTGAGCACTAGGCAAGAATGCAGCCTTTATGAAAAATACAAGATAAAATTTCAACATATCCAGAAAATCATTCATCCTTGATTCTTGGCACTGGTTTCTATATTCTCTTTTCAGTGCAGGAATGAGAGTGAATCTGGGCAGGGGATTCAAGTTGATTTAAAAATGAGAGAAATAGATCCTTTGAGAAGAAGCTAATAATCTTGCTTTACTTGCATTAAAGACTGAGAAGATAATATCTTTGGGAGACACTCACTGTATCAACAGAATTTGGCTAGAAAAAAATTAAGCTAAACAAACACTGGAATGGACCAAAAAGAATTATTGAAGTATTTTTGTCCTTTGAGATCAATTAAATGAAGAGAAGTGGTCATTTGTTTGGAAGTAACAAGGTGAATTGCAATCCTTTTGAAGTTCATTGCCTGCTCAGAGATTCTAGCAAATAACTTACTGTGTGTAAGATTGAAAAATGCAAGGAATTTTGAAAATGTAATACACATTAAATTATTTCAATAGATAGCATTCTTTTGTCAAAACATTGGGTTCAATTAATATCTCTCAATCACCAGTGATATTCAAGACACTATATTATTGATTTTTTGATACAAAAATTTGTTACATTCATTGTAACTTCCTTAAAGAAACTTAAAATTTAAAAAAGAGCATAGAATATATATATGCTAATGTATCAAAGCAAGTGTGATAAGTACCTTATCACAAGATAATACCAAATAGTACTACAGTTTAATAAAAGACCAACTTCTTAAATTATAATCATGAACTAATAGCAAATGCTTGCATAACACTTACCATGTTTCAGTCATTGTTCTAAGACCTTTCCATAGAGTAGCTTATGTAATATTCATAACAACCCCATAAAGTAGTTATTGTTTGTACCCATTTTATAAATGAGGAATCTGAGGCATGGAAAGTGAAGTAACTTAACCATTCTTATACAGCTCTCTGATAATTAAAACTCAGAGAGCAGTTGGTCAATCTAGAAAACTGGCAGAAATTTTGACCAGCAAAGTTGGAATAAGATTAAAGAAAGGAAAGAGGACTCTGACAGAGCTCATCAAGAAAAGAGGGTGATGTTAAGAAGTGTGTATTAGGAAATGAGTGGTTCTAGTTGTCTAGGAATGGTGTTCTTATTATGTGAGACTGAAAAGAGACACTGGGCTAGATGGTGGTGGGTCTTGGATGTGAGAGCAAAGGGTTTAGACTTAATTAAGTAGTCACTGAAAAAGCAAAGAAGCTTTTAAAAAAGAGGCACTTTAGTAAAAATGGATTTGGCCGGGCGTGGTGGCTCACGCCTGTAATCCCAGCACTTTGGGAGGCCGAGGCGGGCGGATCACGAGGTCAGGAGATCGAGACCATCCTGGCTAACACGGTGAAACCCCGTCTCTACTAAAAATACAAAAAATTAGCCGGGCGTGGTGGTGGGCGCCTGTAATCCCAGCTACTCGGGAGGCTGAGGCAGGAGAATGGCATGAACCCAAGAGGCGGAGCTTGCAGTGAGCCGGGATAGCGCCACTGCAGTCCAGCTTGGGCGAAAGAGTGAGACTCCGTCTCAAAAAAAAAAAAAAAAAAAAAAAAAAATGGATTTAAGGAAGACAAATTTGTGACAGAATGAGAGAAGTGGAAAAATCAGAAAGTTAAAAGTTACTGATAATCTATAATTAAAATTATGGAAATTTACTAATTCCAGAAGCACTTGGGTATTTTTTATGATTTTGTAATCAAGAATTAGCGGTATGGAATAACACGTGCAATAACATTCTATTGACAGAACATTATTCCAGGAATGAAAAAAATTGGGTTTCTTCTGGCATTTTAAACCTAACTAATTTATAGTAGATGCTTGGAGACTTGTGTTGTGAAAGACTGTGAGGCCACCTCCAATGACAGGAAAGAGTGGAGAGTGCCCAAGTAAATGTCAGTGATGTTTCATCTGCACTCTTTGCCTTAATGCCTAAAGTTGTGATGGGTATGGAAGATTTATGTATCATTTTACCAAAGTTGTGCTCATGTTAAAGTTAATCCAAATAAAACATAGTACATAGAAAGATGACTGACTATACTGAGAATATTACCAAAAAATGTACCCAGAGAACGGGATTTGAATTGAACCTTGTTGTTTACTATTTGAATGTCTAGAGTAGGGCACTTAGCCTCCTGAACTGCAACAGTTGTTTTATGAATTATCTCAAGTAGGAACTACATAAAGCTCTTTGTAAACTGTAAAACACTGGTGAAGTAAAAGCTTTAGATAGTAATTTACCATATTAATTTATATATTGTCAAAATTTAAATTTGTGTATTTTTGAGAATTTTGCTTGTTGATAGCATGCTAGGCTTAAGCATACTAGGTTTTTCAGCTTTAAGCTTCTTTTTTGCAGAATTGGGTGTTATGGAAGAAAAATCTATCTTTTTTTGATGGGTAAACTATACAATCCTATAATTAAAAACTACATCCTTCATAAACCCAATGCCTTGTCATAGATCAGGTGGCACTCTCTAGCTAAAAAGTGGACATAGGCAATACACTATTATTTGTCCAATAGAAACTCTCTTTTTTAGGTTCAAAAGAGCTTTTGTTAATTAAATATTTGAGACTACCTGTGCAATACCAATACCATTGGTAGATCTTTTAGTTTTTTTTTAAAAAAATCAATTTATAAAAAATCAATTTTGTGGGAAGAAAATACTAAGTTGATCTGCCAATTGAATAACATTTAGACTAGTAACCCCTGTTAGGCAAGTCCCAAGTTTACCAAATTATCTTAGTCCCAATATAAACAAAGTTGTAATTGCTTCACTTAGTACCTTAGCACTTGTGTAGTTATGAAAAACATCATTTAATAGCAGCAGTGAGGAGAGCAGAGGGAATTAGCTGTTCCCATGATGCCATATTTGGCTTACCTGATGAAATACAAAGACATAATCCAAGTTCTAGCAGCAAATAAAATATTTAACTGCCAAGCATGACTCATAGCTTCCACATCTTTAATGACTATTTGAAACATCAGTAGTAAGACTCTATTTTTAGGAGCTAACAAATGTTAAATAATTGTGGTTTGCATTATTTTCTAGAGGAAAAGGCTTGAAAATATACCTTCTAATTCTAGTATATTTTACCCGTGTCTGCACATAAAAGGTTTGATAGGATTTAGCCAGAGAGCAGAAGCAGAATAACAAGACCAGTAAGTTTCTATCTGTAAGCATTTTGTTGCTAAGATTCCAATAGTTGAATGGAGTCTCTGGTTCATTATTGGATTTACGGAGCTTTAGTGTGGTAGATATACAGCCTAAAAAGTATAGAAATTATAAATTATTATTAAAACCTAGATATGCACCTGCCTTGGCCTCCCAAAGTGCTGGGATTATGGGCGTGAGCCACCGCACCCAGCAAAACCCGGTCTCTACTACAAATACAAAAATTAACCAGGCACAGTGGCACGCGCCTGTAGTCCCAGCTACTCAGGAGGCTGAGGCAGGAGAAACACTTGAACCTGGGAGGCAGAGGTTGCGGTGAGCCAAGATCAAGCCACTGCATTCCAGCCTGGGCGACAGAGCAAGACTCTGTCGCAAAAAAAACAAAAACCATAACAACAACAAAAAACCTAGATATGCAAAGTCTCCTAGTCACATAATGATAGTATTCACTTATAACCATATTTCCTTTTCATAAATAGCAATCTAATCTTCATGTTGAATGACTGAATGTTTCATTACATGTAAATTTTATTTTATTATATGATCCCTTATTGTTGGTTGCTTAGGTCCAACTTTGAGAGATGGTAACTGTCCTGTACGCACAGTTTTACATCCATCCATTTCTGGGCCCAGTTGTGCTCTGACCAGTAGAGTATGTATGATTGTTTACACAGCAACTCCAACTCTACATGTAACCATTCTTTTAAAAATCTTTTTGTAAACTTTTAAGTTCAGGGGTACATGTGCAGTTTGCTACATAGGTAAACTTGAGTCATGGGGGTTTGTTGCACAGATTATTTCATCACTCAGACATTAAGCCTAATACTCAGTAGTTATTTTTCCTGATGCTCTCCCTTCTCCCACTCTCTACCCTCCAACAGGCCCGAGTATGTGTTGTTTCCCTCAATGTGTGCATGTGTTCTCATCATTCAGTTCCTGCTTGTAAGTGAGAACATGCGGTATTTGGTTTTCTGTTCCTGCATTCGTTTGCTAAGGATAATTGCCTCCAGCTCCATCCACGTTCCTGCAAAAGACATAGTCTCATTCTTTTGTTTTGGCCTCATAGTATTCCATGGTGTATATGTACCACATTTTCTGTATTATTCCAGTCTACCACTGATGGGCATTTAGGTTGATTCCATATCTTTGCAATTGTGAGTAGTGCTGCAATGAATATACACATGCATGTGTCTTTATGACAGAATGATGTACATTCCTTTGGGTATATAACCAGTAATGGTATTGCTGGGTCAAATGGTAGTTCTGTTTTTAGGTCTTTGAGGAATGGCCACCCTGTTTTCCACAATGGTTGAACTAATTTACACTCCTACCAACGGTGTATAAGTGTTCCTTTTTCTCCAAAACCTCACTAGCATCTGGTTTTTTGTATTGTTTTGTTTTGTTTTGTTTTAAATAAAAGCCATTCTGACTGGTGTGAGATGGTATCTTATTGTGGTTTTGATTTGTATTTCTCTAATGCTGAGTGATATTCAGCTTTTTTTCATATGCTTGTTGGCTGCATGCATGTTTGTCTTTTTTTGAAAAGTGTCTGTTCATGTCCTTTGCCCACTTTTCAATGGGGTTGTTTATATTTTTTTCTTGTAAATTTGTTTAATTTCCTAGATGCTGGATATTAGATCTTTGTCAGATGTATAGTTTGCAAAGATTTTCTCCCATTCTGTAGGTTATCTGTTTATTCTGTCGATAGTTTCTTTTGCTGTGCAGAAGCTCTTTAGTCTAATTAGATTCCATTTATCAATTTTTGCTTTGATTGTAATTAGTTTTAGCATTTTTGTCACGAAATCTTTGCCCATACCTATGACAAGAATGGTATTGCCTAGGTTGTCTTCTGGGATTTTTATAGTTTTGGGCTTCACATTTAAGTCTTTAATCTAATTTACATTAATTTTTGTATATGGTATAATAAAGGAGTCCAGTTTCAACCTTCTGCATATTTCTAGCCAGTTATCCCAGCACTATTTACTGAATATGAAGTCCTTTTCCCATTGCTTGTTTTTATCAACTTTGTCAAAGATCAGATGGCAGTGCAGAAACTTTTTAGTTTAGTTAAGTTTCATTTATTTATTTTTGTTTTTGTTGCATTTGTTTTTGGAGTCTTAGTCACAGATTCTCTGCATAGGCCACTGTCCAGAAGAATTTTCCCTATATTATGCTCTAAAACTTTAAGGTTTTCAGGTCTTAGATTTAAGTCTTCAGTCCACCTTGAGTTAATTTTTGTATATGGTGAGAGACTAGGATCTAGTTTCACTCTTCTGCATGTGGCTCTCCAATTTTCTCAGCACCATTTATTGAATAGAGTATTTTTTCCACAGTATATGTTTTTGTCTGCTTTGTTGAAGATCAGTTGGTTGTAGGTATTTGGCTTTATTTCTAGGTTCTCCGGTATGTTCCATTGGTCCATTATACCAGCACCATGCTGTTTTCGTTACCATCACCTTGTAGTATAATTTGAAGTCAGGTAATGTGATGCCTCTAGATTGGTTCTTTTTACTTAGGATTACTTTTTTTATTCAGGATCTTTTTTGGTTCCATGTGAATTTTAGGATTGTTTTTTCTAATTCTGTGAAAAATGACATTGGTATTTTGATAGGAATTGCTTTGAATCTAGATCGCTTTGGGCAATATGGTTATTTTCACAATATTGCTTCTTCCAATCCATGAGCATGGGATGTTTTTCCTTTTGTTTGTGTCATCTACAATTTCCTTAATGAGAGTTTTGTAGTTCTCCTTATAGAGATTTTTTCACCTCCTTGGTTAAGCATATTCCTGAGTATTTTATTTCTTTTACAGCTTTTGTTAATGGGATTGACTTCTTGATTTGAGTCTCTGTTTCATTGTTATTGGTGTATAGAAGTGCTACAGATTTGTGTACACTGATTTTGTAACATGAGACTTTACTATTAATAAATTCATTTAGCAAATCTAGGAGTCTTTTGGAGCAGTCTTTAGAGTTTTCTAGGTATAAGATTATATCACTGGCAAACAGAGATTATTTGACTTTCACTCGTCCAATCTGGACGCCCTTTTTTTATTTCTCTTGTGTGACTGCTCTGGCTAGGCCTGCCAGTACTATGTTGAATAGAAGTAGTGAAAGTGTGTTGCTACTCTGCTACTCTTCTTTATTAATGATTTTAAGGGTATTAACCCTACTTTTAGAATTAAGTTTCATAAGGGTAGGGACCTATCTGTTTCTTCTCTCTATACTCAGTAACTAAAACAATGTCCACACACAGTAGGCATTCAATTAATACTTATTTTTTAGAAATATTTTATTATTTGGGCGGGCGCAGTGGCTCACGCCTGTAATCCCAGCACATTGGGAGGCCTAGGCGGGTAGATCACAAGGTCAGGAGATCGAGACCATCCTGGCTAACACAGTGAAACCCTGTCTCTACTAAAAATGCAAAAAAATTAGCCAGGCACAGTGGCGGGCGCCTGTCGTCCCAGCTACTCGGGAGGCTGAAGCAGGAGAATGGCATGAACCCGGGAGGCAGAGCTTGCAGTGAGCCGAGATCACGCCACTGCACTCCAGCCTGGGTGACAGAGTGAGACTCCGTCTCAAAAAAAAAAAAAAATCATTATTTACTATTATGGTTAATTTTATTATTATCTATAATAATAACCACATCAACTACAGTGAAGGATTTCACTCTTGCCTCATACTTGCTGGCAAAATAATTAAGCCATTGAGACCAAGACTAGGAGCAGATTTGCCACTAGGTCATGTGAACTGTAGTAGAGTAAAGGAGGGGATGGGGGAACTCTTTAGCTCGCAGCAAAGTAAACTCAGAGCCCCAGGTCTGTGCTCCAAGCAAATGGGCTCTGTGGTGGTTTCAGAGGGCAGATCTGGGGCCAGTGCCAGAAGGTAGAGGGAGGTAGCTATCACCTACATGTGTAACTTGCAGAGCTGAATGACTGCAGTGGACTGCCTCAAGAGACGGTTAGTTAATTAGAAAACATATCTAATAGTAGCAGTCAGCTACTTATGAGCTCTTACTGTATGCTTGAAGCTGAGTTTATCATACAGAATCTAATTTAATTATCATAACAACTCTATTAGACATACTATCACCTCCAGTCTACAGATGAAGAAACTGAGGCTCAAAATTTGGACAACAGTATTTTGCCAAAGGTCCCATAGCACATAAGTGGTGATGTGGGATTTGAACCAAGGCTGTCTGTGTTCAAAGCCAGAGCTCTGATCCACTATATTAAACAATCTCTACTGCCTTTCAGAAGCACCTCATATGTCCAAGGCACTGTGCTTCAGATGCTACCTCACTGAGTCCACTGACAACATATTAAGGTGGATGTTATTATCTACATCTTACAGATTTCGGAACTGAGGTTTGGAGGGATAAGTGGCTTGCTGCAAGTTCCACAAGACAGAGAGGCCAGATTTCAACTCCAGTCAGTCTGACTCCACCCATGCCAATCCAGAAGAGGCTAGAGGCTCATTGACCAGGCATTCTAGAAGGGATTCCTGCAGCGAGTGGAGGCTCCTTCATTCTTTCACTCAAAAACCTTACAGGGCCGGGCGTGGTGACTCACACCTGTAATCCCAGCACTTTGGGAAGCCGAGGTGGGAGGATTGCTTGAGCCTAAGAGCCTGAGACCAGCCCGGGCAACATAGTGAGACCCCATCTTTACAAACAAAAAATTTAGCCAGTCTTGGTGGTGTGCTCCTGTAGCCCAAGTTACTTGGGGGGCTGAAGCGGGAGGATCACTTTAGCTTAGGAGGTCTAGGCTGCAGTGAGCCATGATCAGGCTGCTGCACTCCAGTTGGGCAACAGAATGAGACCCTGTCACAGCCCTTGTGCAGTATGTCTGCCAGTTGAGCTCTGGATCTTGTAGGACATTCAGGGCCATGTTGCAGGTTCCAGTGGCCATATCCTGCTTTCCTAAGTGGAATATTTTGGCCGGGTGATACAGGATGGGAGGTTGGTTCTTGGCGATCTCGAAGGCCTTGCCAAAGCAGTCCAGAGGGTCGGTCTCCGAGTACTCACAGTATGGATGCCCATGGTGGTGATGGATAAGGGGTCCTTCCTCTCCAGCAGCATTCTGTTGCAACACCAGGCCAGGGCTCGGTAGTGGGGGAGGTCCTCAGACTTGAGCACTTGCTGGAGCAGGGCCAGCATGCAGTTGAAGGTGGGCAGCCTTTTCTGCTTCTCTCTGCCCAGCTCCAGGAAGATGCCATCTAGCCTGATGAAGAGCATTGCCATAGTGAAGTACCAGCCCCTTTTCTCTTCCATTTGGATCTGCTTCCCCCTTTGGCACCATCCTTCCACCTTCCTGAGAAAGCCCCTTTGGGCATATTGAGCCCAGCTCAGCTGAAGCTCAAGACCCCCGTGAACTGTTCTGCCATTATTATTCTTGCCAACCTTGCTGTGCATTCAGAACGACTTGGGCTTCAATTAATATTTATTATTAAACACGTTACAAATAGTTTTTTTCCAATTTTTACATTACATTTTAACATTGTTAATTGGTACGTACTGAATTTATAGAAATTGTAAGTCAATGTGTTCTTTACACTTTTTAGTAAATATCTGTTTCTGAAAAACAGAAAAATCTCATTTCTGTTCTTAAGATTATTTGAGATTTTTACAATTTCAGTAGCATAACTAATGCTTCAGAGCCCTGGCTGGTGGAGGAGGGGTGAGTGAAGGAAGACATAGGCTTTAATTATAGGCTGGCACTTACAAGCTGGTCAAATTATTTCACCTCTCAGCCTGAGATTTCTTATCTGAATATTAGAGTATTAATTATTCCTGCTCAGATAATCACTGTGAGAATTAAATAAATGAGAATCTTTGTAAAGTACTTAGTACAATATGCAGAATATGCAGTCTAGTAATAATGTTACCTTGGTTCTGATAATAATGATGACAATAACTTCTCTAGATTTCAATCTTCTTCTGTAAAATGAAAATAATGATGCCTACCTCATGTGAATATTGCCTGGAACATATTAAACACTCAATAAGTGACAGTTATAAAAAATAAAAATTAAAAATTACACAAAACAAGAGTGATTTTAGAATTCTCTCTCTCTCTCTCTCACACACACACACACACACACACACACACACACACACACAGAGATTCCGATATGCTTACATCCTTAGGAAAGATAATCGAGCCTTCTGATCCCTACCTCCTCTCCATTGAAGATGACTGTTTTAACATTTTTAAAAATAAAATCTACTAATCTTTCCCTTTGAAGGAATCTGCCTTTGAAGTCAAGCTAAAGAAGTCTATACTCATACTAAAATTTGTAAAAAAAAAAAACACTCATCAATCCTTTATTGTAGTTTTTTTTCAGTTAATTTCTAATTCAGATGGAATACATTATGGTAAAAATTATGAGGTTTCCAGTTGATTAGCAAAGTGTCCCAAGTGTCTTTTTGTTGCTAATAGTACTTCAAACTTTATTAAATGATTTCCAAAGAACATTATATCATCATACATCTTCCACATTTAGTAAGTATATTTTAGGTATTTATTTTTGTGTTGTTATAAATAAGACTTTTAACTATTATATTTTGACTAATTATTGATATTTAAAATATTTTTGTGTATTTAAAAGGTCTGTTGTCTTACCCATAACTTTTTAATAAATTACTTTTAATATTTTTTCAATTAATGGAAGCTTTCAAGTATGTAATTATATTACTTGCAAATTATAATCATATTTGCAACTTTTTGTCTAAAATAACTTTGACTTGAACTTCCATTACTTTGTTAAATAATAATGGAGATAAATATTCCTGATACTCTCCTCGGTGTCCTCCCATCAAGCGTGACATGGGCTGTTGGTTGGAAATAGATTTCCACCTCTCCCGCACAATAAAGAAATATGTTATATTTCTATGTTATTGAGAATTTTAATCAGATATAAATTTTAAATGTCATCTTTTTTTTGAAATCTATCAAGATCTTTCCTTTTCCCACCCATTTGTATAATAAGATGTATTTTCATCTTGCTAATTGTATTAGTCCATTATCATACTACTAATAAAGACATACTGGAGACTGGGTAATTGATACAGGAAAGAGGTTTAATTGACTCACAGTTTTGTGTGGCTGAGGAGGCCTCAGGACATTACAATCATGGTGGAAGGCACCCCTTCACAGGGCGGCAGGAGAGAGAATGAGAGCCAAGTGAAGGGGGAAAACCCTTATGAAACCATCAGATCTTATGAGAACTCACTCACTATCATGAGAACAACATAGAGGAAATCACCTCCATGATTCAGTTATCTCCACGTGGTCCCGCCCTTGACATTTAGGGATTATTACAATTCAAGATGAGATTTGGGTGGGGACACAGAGCCAAACCATATCACTAACCAATGCTAATATTAAACAATACTCAATGGTACTGAAGTATATCTCTTGTGGTGATTGGGTTTTTGTTGTTATATTGCAGAATTGTATTTTAAGATTTTTGCATCTACATTCAAAACTATATATTTTGTCAAATTTTTTTTATTATATACCAAACTCAAAAGTTTTTTCTTTATCTCTATATTCTTCATCTTCATTCTCTCTTTGTCAGGTTTTGGAATTAAGGTTATAATTGCTTTCAAAAAATTGGAAGTTTCCTTTTCCTTTCTGTTCTGGAAGTGTGTACAAATAGCATGAGACTAATTGTTCTTTGTGGGTTTTAATGAATTTGGACAAAAATCTTTCTGAGCCTAATGCTATGTTTTCAAGATTGTTCTTTCAAAACTGTCATTTTGTTATATTATTAATTTGTAAAAGTTATTGTCTTTTTAAAGTAGAAAATTATTGTAATTTATATTTTTCTTAAAAATTATTCTTTCAGAATTTCAAATGCAGTTAGAAAATAAAATATTAGTAGTGTGTATAGTTGTAACTGGCTTTATTACACAAGGTTATACAAGAAAAGGGAAGAACACAAGCAAGAATTAGCACATTTGCAAGAGAAGGGATAGGGAATAAAGTCAGTCCAGAAACTGGACTTAGAGGGATTGGAAATGCCAATGACTCATAGGTCCTAAACGAGAAGATGCAAAACTTTAAAAGCTTTTAAGTAAGAAAAGCTTGTGAATACTTAGCCTTGAGGAAAATACCATATTAAGATTGTGGCCTTTCTTCCTAAGTCTGGTGCCCTCAAGGAAGATGCTTTAAATTGAGAGAGAAAAAAAAAGGTATGAGGGTAAGGAGAAAAGCAAGAATCTGAGCTCGATAATTATATCTAGAAACATGAATTTCATTAGCTTTCTATTGCTACGTCAGAAATTAACATAAATTTAGCAGCTTTGAACAAGGTTTGTCCCAGTTCCATAGACCAGAAGTGTAGCCAGATTATCTGCTCAGCTCTCACATGACTACAATTAAGATATTGGTCTCATCTGAGGCTCAAGTTTCATTTCCCAAATCACTGGTTGTTGGCAGAATCAGCTCCTTGATGTTGGAAGACTGAGGTCCTCACTTCCTTACTGGCTGTCAGCTGGGGGTTGCTTTCAGCTCCTAGAGGATGCTCTCAGGTCCTTGCAGGTGGTTCCCTCCATCTGCAAAACCAGCAGTGGGGAATCCTCCCTATGTAGAATTTCTCTGACTTTAGAAAGGGCCCTTGAGGGACTCACCTGATTATGTCAGGCCCACCCTGAAAAATCTCCCTCTTTTCTCTTTTTAGAGACAGGGTCTTGCTCTGTCACCCAGGCTAGAGTACAGTGGTGTGATCTTCACTCACTGCAGCCCTGAACTCCTGGGCTCAAGTGATCCTCTTGCCTTGGCCTCCCAAAGTGCTGGGATTACAGGCATGAGCTACTACACCCAACATAATCTTCCTTTTGATTAACTCAAAAGTCAATTGATTAATAACCTAATCACGGAAATAATGCCTCATGATATTCACAGGTCTGCTTAAACTCAAGGAGGTGGCATTATATAAAGCATGCATGCCATGAGGCAGGAATCTTGAGGGCCATCTTAGAATTCTGCCTACCCCTGGAGCTGACAGGAATAAATAAGTTAGAAACCTGCTAAGGTATGGAGAGAATTTTGTCTATGAAACAACAAAAATAAAACAAAAATTTAAAAATATGTTTTGAGACTCCTAATTTGCACAAGCAATAAATACTGGATGTCACAAGCCCAGGATCCAGAACCACACAGAAGATTATAGAGCCTCAGTCGACCTAGGTCTCCAAATGTTTGCATGGAGTAGGTGCCCAACCTTCCCACAACCCCTCCCAGGTCACTCTCCAGACTTAATGCACATGAGAGCTGAGTGTGTTGAGCCATGAGATGTTTGATTTAGCGTTCCCAGGTGCTAGTATCACCATAAGCAAAACAATACTCTGTGGACAGTGAAGCGACTAAGTAGAAGGAGCTTCGGGTTCCCGGATGACCCAGTGAAGTCAAGTTACATACCTTCACTGGACTGTCTTTCCTGTAGTGTTTAAGCCTTTAAATTCTTAGAACTCTCTTTCTTTTACAGTAGTTTTGCCTAATTTTTATAACTCTCTTTTGTAGTAGTCTTGTCTATACCCCAACTAATAAATACATTTTCTTCTAAATAACTTTTATAGTTTTGTATTTGTACCACTCATTCAGGAAATCTTAGGTACTACCTTTAACTTCTTATCTATATCTGCCTTGAATTGTTATTTACATCTTTTATTGTTAATTACTTTTCCAAATGTTTATACCTTTTCCCTCTAAAATTTTAAGTCCTGTAAAGAACAGAAACCATCTCATATATTTTTATATTACATGATCCTTAATACTGTTCCCTAGAAACAGATGAGTTCAGTATATGTAATTTTTGGCTACTCTAAAGCTCTTGTATTCTTTTCTAGTTGCTTATAATTCAAGTTTCTGTCTCCAAATATATAATATTTTCTTCTCTTGAAACAATGACATGAACAAAATATGTTATTAGTCTAAGTTTTAAAAACTGCATTTTTAGTTTTTTTTGGTGTATTTATGTTTTGATAATGGTATTCCTGCCTTTAATAGTGAATGTATTCAGAGCTTATCCAGCCACAATGGCAATATTTTATGAGCAAAGACAGTCTTAGATAAATCTCTAACAGAACCTCCCCAATTATTTTGAAAATATTCCTTCCCAATCACTTAACAGGACTGTATTCCATAAGAGAGAATGCGACCTAGCAGTACTAGGAAGGATAAATTGATCTATCAGGATAAAGGGCACATTTTTTATCCTCTCAAATGCGATGAAAACAAATTTACATTTACTCTATGAAGACTTCAGTTACATGAAATCAAATATTCAGTTGAAGTTTTTAAAAATTAATTTTATTTCACCATTGGGCATTACTTTCTGATTTCATGAAGGTGTTCTCCTTGATATCACATATGTAGACAGCTCCAAAGGACAGAAGACATGAGTTTGGAAACCAACCGAGATGTCTCCAGGTGGCTCAGGGTCCCCATCAAGGTGGAATCAAATGCACCACTCGCTCAGGCTGCTGACAGCCCCCATCCATGAACTCTTTCAGGGTCCTTAATTTCAGGTTGGTTACAAAGACCAATAAAATGCTGCATTTTTATATATAAAATTTACTTTGAGCAAAGATCCTAAATTTATGAGGTATAATTTACTGAGATTATTGGATATAAATTACCTATGTAACAATGATTTAAGTAGAAAAAACAATAAATCATATTTTTAACTTCTCACATAACTTATTCTTTTATTATTATGCAATGCCAGTATATATTTTGCTTTAGTTTTCTGAGAAAACAAACAAACATTATTTAGCTGTAAAATTTGGTGGACATGCTGAAACATAAATTGAGGTTTCATCTGGATGAATGAAAGGATTTTTGAATAATTATAACTGTTTTAATCAGTTGCTGCTTTCCAGCAAGTACTGATCATATTTCAGTTGGGTGGGGTGGGAGGACTTATCTTTTTACCTATTACGTTATATAAGTTAATTCACTAAGTCAGTGTATTAACTGCATAAGGTTTATTTCCTCTAATAAGTACTAAAAGGCTTCAGTATTTAGTATTTTCTGGAATATGGATTTATTACACTCTTTTGGTTTTCTTTTTTTGTTTTACCATGTATATATTCGCACTGTTTTAGACTTTGATCTGAATGTTATTTCAAACTATAGTGCCACCTAGTGTTTATGCAATTTATCTGGGCCACCCTTTCTAAGAAATAAAGTGATAAGAAGGATAAGTATTTTAAAATATGAAAGCAACATTATTTCCCAAATTTTTCATATCAATGGGTTCTAAGCAAACTAAACTTATGTCTTAAATAAAACCAACCTTCTACTTTTAACTAAAAAAAGCCAACCAGCTATTTTTAGTAAGCTTTCCCTAGGTCATGCTTAGTATTCTACAGACTTAACTGAAATGTTTGGAATTCAGAGTGTCACACATTGTCAAGTTCCGAGTAGCTTGTTAGCAGACACAGTACTTAAAATCATAGACTGCTGGAACTGGAGTGTCTTAGCTGAATGGAGATAAGGGACAATGGTGAATAATGAGCATCATTATAAGTATGCCACACTCTTGTTTTCTTTTCACCAGCTTCTTATTTGTTCACGTGATTTCAAATTCTGCAACCACATGTAACTATTCCAAAAGTCAAAGAGGAGAGATTTTAAATAAATAAAACACTTACCTGAAGATAAGATGTTATCTAAGAAAATAAGTGATCCTGGCCGGGCGCCGTGGCTCACGCATGTAATCCCAGCACTTTGGGAGGTCGAAGCGGGCAGATCACCTGAGGTCGGGAGTTCGAGACCAGCCAGACTAACATGGAGAAACCCCGTCTGTACTAAAAATACAAAATTAGCTGGGTGTGGTGGCGCATGCCTGTAATTCCGGCTACTCAGGAGGCTGAGACAGGAGAATCGCTTGAACCTGGGACGCCGAGGTTGTGGTGAGTCGAGATTGCACCACCGCACTCCATTCTGGGCAAAAAGAGCAAAACTCCATCTCAAATAATAATAATAATAATAATAATAATAATAATAATAATAATAATTGATCCTAAAGTTAATTCTTTACAGACATCAATCCTTTAGAAAGAGATACCAGAATATTTGCTCCTTCTTTTTTAGAAGAAAATGTATCACTTAGTTAGAACTGATGATGAACCTTCAGCTTAACTTTAGATGTCATCTAAACTAGAAAGATTATTTCAGAAACTTCTGATTGTTGTTTTGGTAACTTCTCACCTTCTTTTTGGTTGATGGTTCTTGATATTGTTTCAGTTGGAACACTTTTGTCTCAAATGGTAGAAAACCCATACAATCAGTTGCCTGTGTAATAAAAAACTTACAGGGCTGGTTTGATCATAACTTTGGCTATGTTTCTTCAAGTTCTCTTAGCTCTGCTCTCCTTCCTGTAGGTTTTGCCCTCCAGCTGGCTTTTCATAGCCTGATAATACAGTCAATCCATTACCCCTGCTGTTACTTCCTACTGAGGAAGGGAAAGCTTCTCCTTCCTTCCCCTTGAACAAAGCTCTAGGCAGGGCTTCACTCTAATTGGACAAATTAGATCATGTGTTTCATTCTGGGACCAGGTCAGGAGAATGGGATTATGCTAAATGGTTTAATACCATTAGCAGTTTTCCTTGGGGTACAACTGGTATGAATAGCAACAAAAACTCATGCCTGAGAGACTCAAGGTTCTGTTAAGAAGTGGGACAGTTATATTTCATTCTTTTCTAGAAATGTGACAATCCTACTTAATTGTAGTCAGGTCATTAGTTCAATCATGGCTTATTCACTTTAGTAATTCCAAAACACAGGGCTTCATACAAAGTAGGTGTTTAATAAATGTATTTTTAAAGATAAATTAATGAGAAGTTACATGACGAATTAATAATGGCTTATTTGCTATGACTTAATCTTCTTGGTTTAGAAATGTCTTCCTAAAGCAATGGATTGAGAAAGTGGTCATATTTAAATGGAAGCAAAAATTATTTTGGTTATTTTTGCTATTGATTGTGATAATAGCTACCATATGTTGTTATTACCCTATACAACTAAACTGAAAGTTGGAAACCTGATTCATGGAAGAAACTTTACCCTAAATATGGGGATTAAAGTATAAGGAAGTGGAAGACAGCATAAAATGTTCATGTTATTACTTTTCAAAATTTGTTTCAGATGTCATCACAAGAAGTAAAAACAATAAATCTGGATATATTCATTGAAAGTATGTGACTAAAATCATGTTGATATCATCTTTTAGCTGAGTCAATGTTAACAAATAAAGTTGGAAACCTGAGACTTTTTAGGTTGCTAATGTAAGGTATTACTTTGCTGGCAAGCCACAGTGAATAAAACCAACCACATCTTTAGTATAGTCCAAAGATATGTCACATAGAAGTAGCTTTATGTTAAGCCTAGCCCACAGTATCATACCGACCATGTCTTCAGAGATGAGATGTCCCCTGCATCAACTGTTCGCAATACTTTTTCCAGTGAGTCATCTGTTATAATTGACTGCTGTAAATATGAAGGAAGTATACAACATGTAAAGCCCGGAGTTTAGTTTATTCAAGGAAGAGCTAGCCATCTATGTAGCTAGAACCCCAAAAGTAGTTTCCAGTTTTGTTCCTCAGACACCCAGAATTTGGCGTAGCTTCACAGACTGACATGATGAAGAGATTAATAGTGGACATGTTTCCACCTTTTTACCTCTTTTGTCTGTTTTATAAATTCAAATTTTGTATGTTGAGATTCTGCACCTAGTTTAAAAAAAAAAATACTTTGTGGCTAAAAAGTTTTGATGGTCACTGACATGCACTACAGTTGAGTACCCATGCCTGGAGGGGAGAGCAGCAATAACTATGGTAAGGCGGTGAACATTTCAGTACCACAGGAATGCCGAGGTCTATACGTTAACAAAACACTTAATGGAAAGAGTATTCTCAGTTCATCATCTGGATGGATTATTTGCCACTCTAATATTACCTGTATATGACTCTAAATTCTCAAGTAAACATATGGAATATTACATGATTTCTAAAACAAAAAGCCATCTGATGTTATATATCATTACAGATCTGCCAATGATTTCTGTGTGGGTCGATAGAACTTCTTGAAAGAGTTCAGCACATTGGGTCAGTGGCTCTCTGTGGCATTGTGACACAGGAGATTTAAGTTCTCCTTTAAAAAATCTCTCCTAGTGACTTGTGACTATTTTCAGAAATTCTCGTGTTAAAAATTCACTTTTCTGGATTAAGACATTGTCTTCTGTTAAAATGCAAATAATTCCACTCAGAAAATATAATGTTTTACAAAATACATATTCAAGTTTCAAAAATGAAATTAAGAAATATCTGCAATTAAATTCATTTTAGTGTATGAGTTCCTGCTTATCCTCAATAGCAAAAAATTGAATCTTGCCAAATTGAAATAACTCTGTCACTTCTGATTTTAAATTTAATATTTTTTTGGGGGGACTCACTACTCAGCCATTCAAGATTCTTTCCCACCTTCTTCTTTCTCTGTAGAGAAATCTGGGTTTATGGAGGTTTATGTAAGGGAATTGTGGTGCATTTTCAAGGGTGCATATCTGGCTTATGGTACACCTGCTCTCTTATGCCTTCACTTGAGGTGTAACTTGTCCCACTAGATCTTGAACATTGACTTCACCTCATTCCATGTGCCACTGATGCTTGCAGTCCTGCTGTGACCTCCAGTTGCCTATTCCATGCATTTTGTGTACTTCTCAAGCCAATCACAGGCTCTTTAGTCTGTCAATCTTCTCAGACACTTCTCTGCCCTCTTGGGGACCGGGAACTTCTGACTGGCTTCCCCACAGTAAACTGAGGTGAGTAGGAATCCGGGTGGCTTCCCTCAGGCCTATGGCCTAGATGAGAGCTATAAAAAGTGCGCTATGTAAACCCAGTCTTAGTATACAAATTATTTAAATTATTAGTTACTGACTCATTTGGATTGCTATAACATAATACCATAGTCTAGGCAGAAAGAAATAGCTAACACTTATTTCTTGTAGTTCTGGGGCTGCAAAGCCCAACACTGAGGTGCTGGCAGATTTGGTGTCTGCTGAGGGCACATTTCCTGATTCATATGTGGTGCTTTTTACTGTGTCCTCACATTGTGGAAGAGGCAAGGTAGTTTTTTGGGGCCTCTTTTACAAAGGCACTAATCCCATTCCTGAGGGCTCTGTCGTCATGACCCAATCACCTACCCAAAGACTCCACCTCTTAATATCACCACCTTGAAGGTGAGGATTTCAACATAAAATTCTGGGGGGACATAAACACACAGAGCATCACATTTGTTCCTGTGAAATTAAGTACAGAAATTGACAGTAAGAGTTTAGAACTTTCCGTAGTAATTTAACTTAGTAATTAAAACTTGAATTTAAATATTAAAGAGCTTGTTTTAAAACAATTCAGGAGTTTCATTTCATGTATATTGTCATTTATTTTATTATTTTTATAAAAAAAGTAACTTCCCCTTTACCACAGTAAGCTTAAGAAGCCCTGGTCTGGACTATTCCTTTTTCCTGCTCAGGCACCATGTTGGACCTGACATGGGGCTTCTCTGTGAAACATGTGTTGCCCCCAGCTTCATCCTCGGAAGTTGCATCTGCCCACCCTCAGCCAGGCAGTGAGTGCCACTGACTCGCTGAGAGAAAAACCACAGGCAAACCAAGAAAGTATGTAAAAAAAAACCTCAGTTAATGTCTGAAATTATTATCCACCTCATCATCTGTGATTTCCCTGGACAAAAATTACTGTAGAGAGGAAAAGAGCTACATAAACTTGAAAAGTCATTTTACCTCTAGGGAGCTTTATTTTCTCAATAACAGAAAGAGAATAAGCCCCATTTCATGGAATGTTGGAAGGGAAAACATAAGGAAACTTAACACAGGGCCTGGCACAGAAATGTTAATTGCCTATAAGGTAAGTAGAGTTTCTAAAACATTTTGCATTTCAACAGTTTTCTATCCATGTATAAAACATAAACATTTATTCATATAATCTTAATGTTATGGAGAATGTTGAAAGTTGATAAATTAATTATACAGGGCTATAGTTGTAAGAATCGTATTTATGTATACAGTAGTCCCCTGTTAGCCATAGGGATATGTTCCAAGGTACCCAGCAGATGCTGGAAACCATAGACAATAATGAAAACTATATATACTATGATTTTTCCTATACATACATATTTATGATAAATTTTCATTTATAAATTAGGCTCAGTAAGAGATTAACAATAACTAATAATGAAATAGAATAATTATAACAATATACTGCAGCAACAGTTATGTGGCTATGATCTCTCTCTCTCTTTCCCTCTCTTTTTCAAAATCTTAATTTTTTTTTACTGTGGTTGATCACTGGTAACTGAAACAGCAGAAAGTGAAACCTTGGATAAGGAGTGACTAGAATTGTAAGAATTAAATAAGAGAAGAAATGTACATTGGTTAAGCCTTGTACATAGTAGGTGTTTAATTAATGATAGTGCCTGCATACACACACTCATTTACCCACTCACGTACACACATATGTATATATTCATACATACCTACCATACTCAGATACAAGATTCCGAAGCTGTTTTCTTTTAGTTGGTAAACTACAAAAGCACTTAGACCTGCACATCTGTCGTGGATGACATTTTGCTGATATATTTAGTGAATGGGTTTATTAAGTAGAAACAAGGGGAAGAAAAGACTGCTGTTTCCTAATGATTTTGTTCTTCAGCTTTCAAACAGTGACTCTAAATTTGCATTTTTTTCCTGTCTTGCCATGGTGTGATTTTTGCAAAGTAATTATGGTAGTGAAAGTTGGTTTAGACCTCAGAAGTTAAATATTTCACTTAAATACTGCTGTGTTTTAATTAAATATAACCCTGGAGAACAGTGTTTAGTTGCACAGATGAAATGGGCTAAGCCTTGGGGCACTGTGACTCCAGTGGAGAAAATTGAACAGCAGAGTCAATTGGGCACAAGCTATGAGAAGAGTGAAGCAATTTATCAGGCCGACTGGAAGTTAATTGTTTAGGCAAAACGTAATACGTCATAGTATGACAAACACATCAAGCTACATGGGGCAAATACATAAATGTGATGACTATTGATTACCACCAAATGAAGGCTTTGGCTGTTTAATCAGTTATGTATTAGTTTTCAGCACTTTAAAATCAGTTAAAATCTAGTGTAATTTTAAAAAAAAGGGTTAGAAACAGAGAGACCAAATAATTTCAATGTAAGCAATTAAGTTTGGGTCATGTAGTCCCAGAAAGTATGGTGCCAGAGTAATGACTGAGTTGGGCTGAGTTTTATGGGAAAGATTCCTCAATGGTATAAATAAGACCAGTAAACAAAGTAAGAAAGACAGTCATTGTCTTCCCTTTATATATCTCTCATGCCTCAAAATTTACACGCAGTGCTAGACAACACATACTTTCACATTAATACTGGGAATAAAGTGCTGCCGGAAAATGGAAATGGTGCAGACGAGAAAGCTCCACATTATTAGGGACCTGTTTTAAAATGTACCCAGCGTTTGTTTTGATGAGGTATAGTAAGACACACAGACATGGAAACGGCTGCTATGAAGAAAGACTGTTTCATATTCACAGGTCCTGGGTGATGATGTTGACTTTCTAGGAGTCCAGGCACACCACGTGGGGCCACATGGGGAAGCAACCAGGGTTAGTCAGGGGACAGAGAAAGAGTGAGGGGAAAGTGTGGGTAAGAGCCTTTATTGTGGTTTCTGTAGGAAGAAATAGGACAGACAGGAGAAGCAGGCTTGGGATTGACTAGCAGAATAATTTCAGTGGGCTTGTAGAGAGTGGAGAGACTGTTCCAAGTTGTCGGATACTTTGTCCTGAGGGGATTGGGGGAGGAAGCAGCGGCTTGATGTGAGTCAGTTCAGTTCAATAAAGGAGGTAGTTGGGGGGTGTGGGCTCTGGATTGGTTGGTTTGTGTATGAAAGGCATACTTGCAGATCAGGCTTCTACTATCTTTAGGAATTGGCTAGTTCTAGGTGGGGAAGGCTCCCCATAGGGGAAGTGAGGCTCCAGATGCCATGTCATTAAGAATAGAGAAAATTAAAAAATATAATTAATATAGGACCTTCCAGTCTCTGTGTTCTGGAGATATGCAAAATGTTAAAATATTGAAAACACCAGGGCTAACATCCCTCAATATGTCACCTCAACTGTGATAAGGGCTGTCTTTACCTCTACGCTCTGTTAACCATTCAAAGATGCTATCTGAGCTTTGCAGATGCTGGCAATGCATTCTTCTTAACTACAGATTATTTTGCAGCTCTGCTGCTAATCATGTTTTCTTCAATAGCAAGAAGGCTTAAAAAGTTAAATAATGAGAAAATGACTCTTTTAGACGCCAGTGATCCTGCTGAAGTTCTCTTGAAAACTCTTCACTTATGGAGCAATGCCTAGGAAGGCCGTCCACTGAGGGTGTCAGTGATGGTATTAAGAGATCAAGCATTGTTGAGGAAAGATGAACATCCCATTGTGGCACAAACGGAATACATTCTAGAAATTAGGGTTTTCATACTCCAAAGAACTGAAGAATATCTTTAGACTGAACTAGATGGAAATGATTTTCAGATCACTGTTTTATACTTCATACACAGAATAAATGATGAGCTAAACTGTAGCTAAATATACAATTTCAGAGGTGTATTTTACCTTCATTTACTTAATGCAATCACTAAAATGCCTATGGTTACATTTGTGCCAAATTTTCAGTTATAAAATTTGATTTTCAGCAGATTAAATTTAGTAATAAAATGTTCTCTATGCTAAAGAATAAAAGGAAAGTCCTTGGGCAATAGTGTTTTTTCAATCACTGGTTTTTGAAATGCATTTGGTTGTAATAAACACAACCGCATATGGTAAAATATGACAAGTATTTTTCATTGTTAGCATTTTCATCTGTAAATAAGGTTGAAATTTAGCCAACAATTATTTTTCTCAAGAGGTTAAGAAGTGAAAACATAACATTTATTTTTTTTTCACAGAAATTGACACCACATTGATCACATCTGAGCTCTGGAAAAATAACAAAGAACCAGTCCTTTATCTCCAGGGGTGCTGCTGTTAAACAGTAACTATTCCCTATCTGACCACTGTGTGGTGCTGCTTACTTTTAAATTGTGTGTGTGTGTGTGTGTGTGTGTGTGTGTGTGTGTGTGTGTGTGTGTGTGTATCTGGGTGTGTACGCATATGTAGGCTTGTCTGCGTGTGCATCTTTGCTTTGTACATTTAGATATTTCTGATTTCAAAATGTAGCATACATTCAAGTTTGGAAACATCGAGTGCTGAGATTCTATTTAATGACTACAGATTGAAATTGACCAAATAATTAATCTCAAGCTTGAAATTGCATTTACTTCCTGCTTAACAAATGACCACCATGATGGTAGCAGAACTCAACCTAAGCATATTGCTAATTAATCTGATTTTACAAATAGACATAGATTTGGTGCAGAAACATTGCAAATAAAGAATTTTCCAAAATCTGGAAGCATTTAACTCTTTGCTTCTTCCCAATCGACATTCCGATGTTTCACTATTTTTGTGAAAGTAGGATTAAACAAAACAAACAAAATTTTTCTACATGGGTGATAATACAGACTTTCTAGTTAGAGTTTGGTAGAAAACGAAAAAAAAACCCACAAGCCTACTGCACTGGCTTAAACTAACAACGAGTAATTTAAAGGCTACAGCAATAGCTTAAGGAACATGAAGAAAGAAGATGCATTTTTGAAGGTGGGAGCTGGGAATTGACAGTACTCAGGAAACAATAGAACTGCTATCTCTATTCATCTGAAGTCGTATTTCCTCATTTATTCAATTTGGTTTTCTCCGTAACGTTTGGCCTGCTCTGGCTTTCATGTGCCATGTCACTATACCTGGCCCTGCTTCTATCTGACCTTTCAGTTTAACCCCCAGCCCCTAAATTATTGTAGTGTAGGTGTCTCCGTGGTCAATTTTTAGGGAGAGACAGTGTGGTCAATCAGTGGATTGATGCCTTTCTATTATGTAGTCATCATGAAACTCTTAAAAATGCTAATCAATTCAGTGCAGTTCAACAGAAAGTATTAAGTCATCAAACTGAAATGAAGAAAAAGACCTGAGTAGTATTAGAATACTCTTGATAATATAGTTCAACCCTTTATACTGGAATAAGATCAATCCTAATATATATAAAACCAGATAGTCTATTCAAACCATATCACTTTATGTAAAGAAATGTATTATGGAAACTCTCCAATTTTTACCTCATGGGATTTTATTGTGCTTAAATACAAAAAAGAAGGGAGGAGGGCATTTTTTCATAGGCAAATAATCTAAAAAGAATTTCATAGTAGAAAAGTATTCTTTGGCATCAGGAGTTTTATTGCCCATCTTTGGGAAAAGTACACAGAAGAATCTAGTGATTGAATGACCAGGTTATTTGCCTATTTCCCTTAGGAATCTGAGGCTAATGATGTGGGGACAGAGGGAGTATTTGTTTAAAGATGTCTTCCTCTCCAGATTCAACTCCAGAGAGGTTGGATAACTTTAAAGGACCTGGTAAAATACCCTACTTTAAATAAATTTCTAAAGGAAAAGGCATCATGAATATTGCTAGGTTGAGCAAGTCAACTGCTAATGCACAGATGGTGAATCTGGTTCTGCCTTCTTCACCATATCCCCCCTACTCAAATTTCTGCCATGGCACCTCTGGGACAGGTGACGGAATAAAGGAATTGCCTCCTCAGTGTTGGGGACAAAAGAGATGCCATGGCTACCACTGCTGGTTCCTCATCAACATTTTCTTTTGCCTCTTACGTTGATGGTAGAAAAGAAAGGAAAAATATATGTACATATTGTTATTAAAAATGTAAGCCCATTGATGGGGCTATAACATTTATTTTAGATAATGGCACTTCTACCAGATAACAGGAATTGCTCATTTCTAGAAAGAGCTCTGAACGATAAATCAGTGTTTCTAATTTTGTTCTATCACAAACAGACTTTGCTAATTAAGGAGCAGGTCTCCTCATTTCCCTAGGCCTGAGTTTTCTTTCCTGTAATATATTCAAGTCCTTTCCTGTTCTCATCATGCATGTTTTAATACTTTTCATTATTCCCATGGAACCTTCTTAAGGTGGCTGTACCCATCACCAAAGCAGATGAAAAGCTTACTTTTCTAGCCCAAATAAAGATGTAGTTTTGGAGCAGTAGACCTGTCAGTGTTAGCTTTATAAGAACAAATAAATTAAACAAACAAACAGCCTCCCTCCCCACATAAGATGGGCTTATGTCAATCATTTGTTTATTTTGAAAAGAGGAAAGAGGATCCAGGCAATTACTTGCTATTCAATGAAATTAAATCATCTCCATCCTCCCTTTCTCTCTCCTTCACCAGCACACACCATGATTCCAAGCAAACTATGCATCTGAAACCCATATGGAAAGTCAGGAGAGTGCAAAGAGTGTAAGGATGTAGACCCTGAGGCCAGGCTGCCTAATTTCACAGCCAAGCTCTGTTGTTTGCTACCCTTTCACCTTGGACAAATTGCTTAACTCTGGCCACGTTCTCCCCATCTGGGAAATGAGGATAATAATGGAACCTTCATCAAAGGATGGTTGTGAGAATGAATAAAAGCACTCGGAACAGTGCCTGGTACATAGTAAGTGTTGTGTAAGTGTCCTATAATTAATATAAGCAGTTCTATAATTGTTATCTGAATTAACTGGTAAGGAAAGGGTTAAGAGTCAGTGGGCTTTGCTATGGTCTGGGAATGCTTCAAACAAAGAAAAATGAATTACAGACAGACTTTCTCTGGCTTCCTATGTTTTTCCCATTTTTTCCTATATTTCCTATTTTTTCCCATGTTGCCATGCCCCTCAAATTTGTCCTTTCCTAACAAAACATCATCTGATTGGCAAGTAGCTTCTCATCTTCAGTAAGTCCCCAAAAACAAAGATGAGAGAATATTTGTAGGCAACCCCAGATGATTGCCTTCTTTACTTGATCCCCTACTTTAGCCCCTTGTTTTATGGATAATCACCTACCTCTGCTGAAGAAAAGGGAAGGAGGAGAGCTGAAGGAGCCACTTCCCATGCAGGGCAGTGCACAGCATGGAGAAGGCACTGTCTCAGATATTCTAAGCAGAGGGGAGCAGAGAATAGAGGAGAGAGCACCCAAAAGCAGACAAGGAGGAAGAAGCATAGAAGTTATAAGAATTTCCCACCAATAGCTCCAATAATCATAAAGGCTGGGAACTGAGAGATATCGGTGGAGCAGGGATCTGTTGTGTCCTCAGCATTTATAGTAGCTCAGATAGACAGTGTCCTAGAGACCTAACCTACTGCACAACTAACTCATGAGGGTCTCGTGAAGAAGATGCTCAAGAAGACAGAAGAAATAGGCTGAGATGGGTTAACTCTTCAACAAGGAGGGATATGTGGAGGGAAAAAATGCAGCTGCCAACTGTTTAATCACTTGCAGGTACTGTAATTTGTTCAATATTTTATTTAGCTGTCTAATAAAGGTGGTTATCATTTTGTCCATATTGCTTTGGAGTTATTCTCACACAATGTCTCTTTGTTCAAAATTCTGATGTAAGAACTCTAATTAGTTTTTGAAGAACTACCTGAATCTGGAGGGACTCTAATGATCAGCAGCTGGTTGCTCTGCTGGTGCCCAGAGAGAGAAGGCCTGCCCCTAATTGGATTTACCTGCATGATTTAGTTATAAGAAAAGAACTAAAGGAGAAGCGCTTTTATAGAAAAATCACATAACATGCTATAGAAAATACGTGAAAAAAGGACAGGTATGTGTGCATAAGAGACATAGTCAAATATCAAAGCTGGGCTTTCTGTTGTATTTATAAAGTTTAATATTGAAACTATACTCGACAGAGATTTCATAGTTACCTAGCCTAATTCCTCATTTTTTTAGATGAGAAAACTGAGGCACAGCATGGTTTAAACATTTGCTCAACATCATCCAGTCTAATAAGTGGTCTTTGTCCTACTTAAGGCTTTTTACACCGTTATCCCACCACCTCTTGTGGATGTTGTTTAATCTTTGTCTTTGGTGGAAAAAGGGTTGTTTTTCTCTTTGCTTTTATTGTGTAAGCTGAAAGACATTTCAGTAGAACATACTAATGAAAGTTGCTGTTAGCTATTTTCTAAGTGAAATTCTTTTAGAATAAGTATTTCAAAGATATTTTCCAGTTAGAAAAGATCTTTGCAATTATGTGTGAGGCAGACACGCATTTTGAACATCCCAGGACTCATTTCCTATGGAGAACTCAGGATATGGGCCAGGAGGCTGGAGCAAAAGCAGCAACACTTTGTCAGAAAGGAAAGTGTGTTGATGAGTGGGCCAGGGTAAATATGTGGGGAAATGCACACTTCAAAACTAGCTGAAGGGAAGGTGTGTTTGCTCATCTCAGAATGGCCAAATTAAGGGTACGACTAGGCCAAGTGACTTAGACTTGTCTGAAACAAGAAGTAGCTTATCCAACTACCTTTCAGGAAAGTGTCTCTTCAAGTTTGTTGGCTTGTCTCTTCAATGCTCTGTGACTCTTCAAGTTTGCTTGGGCTTTTAAAATAGGATTACCAAGGAGTCTGACAGCAATGGGAATAATGAAGTGCCCAGAATAAGCAGCAAGGTGGCTTATGTCACATTGTATGCAGCATCATGGATAAGAGGTGATTTATCCCTTTCATCAGACCAAGCTCTTCACAGGCAAGAAAACTTATTCAAACTGTGGCCATAATCGCTAGAACATAAATAAAACTCCAAGCAACCCAAAACACCCTCGACCAAGTATAATTTAAAATTAGACTGCATTCATGTGATTTTTAAAATAGACAAATGTTTCAGGGAACCCAATATTTTATACACAGTCTATGAATGATATCATGGTCTTCACAACTTTGATATGCAAATTTCAGTTGATGAAAATGTTGCTATATTTTCCCAGGGCTTATGGGAAACATGAAAAGAATCGTAAGCCACTTGAAGCCAAGGAAACTTCAGAAAGGGCGGGAGTGTTGATATTTCCTGAGGTTCTGTGGGAAATATCAGAAGGGAGTCCCTGTATAATGTAAACAAGATAGAAATTTTAAGAAGAAAAACAATTTGAGGTTCTGCGTTTAATTATTGTCTTACTTTTGAAGAGTCTCAAGCTTCTTTTATTTTTCCTGATGCAAAATATGCATGTGTGTAGTCTCTGCAAACCCGAACTTTCTTTTTACGACCTATAGTGGGTAAGAAGCATGAAGTGGGTCATTTTTAGACCAAAAAAATGCCTCATAAATTTGTCTTTTATTATATAATAACAAAACTCCCAAAAGGTTTTATTTATTAGTTAGTTTAGTTGAAGAAAAACTGATATTGTATGTTATATTTACCTACCAAGTAAAGCCTTTAATGAGATCATTGAAAAAGACTTCCTAATTCCACTGTGCTTATTTTTTTTTAAATAAAATTAGGGGAAAGGCTCTCATTGTAACCTCTGCCCCCTGTTGTAAATCGACCTTGCATACGCCTGTCTGGTATGTGAACCGTGAAAAATCTTTATGGAACTCTTTCAACCCTCTCTCTTTGCTCGTTGTGGTACTTAACGTCTACAATGAATGATACACATGTAAAAGGCAAACGACAACAGTGCTCATTAATTAGAGCACATGATATGAATTTGTAAGAAGATTGAGGCTATGAGGATTCATATGGGTAAGTTGTGGGCAATCGGTTTATGTAGCGATCTTTGTTTTTTCTATGACAAAGTAGTAAGGGACATGCTGCAAATACCAATAGGACTATGTTCTAGGGATCTTTTTTCTTGGCTCAAAAATCAGTTAAAAAGCCAGAATGATGGTAGCTGTTGCCAATATTATGAAACTCCAAACAAATTTTCCAGTTTTTTTCTTAAGCCTTTTTTTAGGGGAAGTTTTTTGTTTGTTTGTTTGTTTGTTTTTTTAGATGGTGTTTCACTCTTGTCACCCAGGCTGGAGTGCAATGGCACAGTCTTGGCTCACTGCAACCTCCCTCTCCTGGGTTCGAGCAATTCTCCTGCCTCAGCCTCCCGAGTAGCTGGGACTACAGGCACACACCACCATGTCCAGCTAACTTTTTTTGTAATTTTAGTACAGATGGGGTTTCACCATGTTGGCCAGGCTGGTCTTGCACTCTTGATCTCAGGTGATCCGCCTGCCTCAGCCTCCCAAAGTGCTGGGATTACAGGCATGAGCCACCGAGCCCGGCCCCGGGGGGAAGCTTTTTAATGGAGTGACAGAATGAATATATTTCTCAACTGCCAGTTTTTTAACTCTGTATTCTTTTTTTTGGACTTAAAACTATGCTATCAACTTGGTTTATTTGAAATAAATTTTTTTTGACTTTTTAGAGGTTAAGTAGTTTAAATGACTCTGTTTCCTTGTTCAATGTAACTTGGAAAACAAAAACAAATACAAACAAAACAAAACAAAACAAAACAAAAACCTGAGCAGATTCTTTCAGAACATCCCTCAAGCAAATTTAGGTACTACAGACACCACACCAAAATGCACTATTTAAAGGACAAAATGTGCTAAGGTTAATAATCAGTGTAAACAGAGTCTTGAAATGGAAATAGAATAATCAAATGAATACAACAGGATGATCTTTACTGTGTGGTTGTTCGCAGGGTGATTTCTGGTGTTAGGCTCCAGGTGTTTGAATTCTGATCTGGCATCCACTACTGTACAATTCTGGGCCAGTTAAATCCCTATAAGTGTCAGGGTGAAATGGAATAACAAGGACTTCCTGAATGGGCTGGGAGGACTAAATGAGATGATGTATCTAATGCATCTAACATGGTACTTTGTTTATAGTTACCATTATTCTATTATTGCTTTTTAAGGTTAGTGATATACACATTCATATGGTTAACTGTTTATCTTGAAATTCTCATAATTCTAGAAGTCTGTATTGGCAGCTACACTATGTCGTATTTTATTTCTGTTTTCAGATGAAGAAGAAAGACAGAATGGATAACAATTTATTTGGTCATTGAGTTAAATATTAAAATATTTTAAAAGTATCTGATGTTGGGGCATAACACAATTTGGAATATGAGTCTCAGTATTCATTATATCTTGTGACTAAATTTGTCAAGAAGCTCAACAATTGCATTTTTCCCTTTCCTTTTTTTTTAGTTTTGCAGAATAAGCTGATCATTTTGCTTTTTAAGTGTCATTTGATAGGAATATGTCTATACTATACTTCTGGCAAAAATTTACCCTCTCTTTTATGGTAAAATATATTCAATTCAGCCAACTACTTTGTGGCCAAACCATCTCTCTGTACTCACCACACAAATGTTGAATCAGAAAACAGAATGGCCATATTACAAGTCCTTGGCTCAATAAAAATAAACCAAGCCAAAAAAAAGGCAAAGGCAAAGAAATTTCTGTGAGAGTTGATTGGGGTTTATTTCAGCTAATTTTGCATTCATTTCACAATCATTTTTACATTCTACACTATAGAAATAAAAATGATTAATTCTGAAAAATCTTGCTCTATGAAGGGGCTGATGATGGGCACCCACTGCATGGGCCTTCCACAGTGGCCCAGGGCTCTCTAGCAATGCCACTGTTAATTGTTGGTGGCTCTCAACCACTTTCCAGCAAGTACCTCTTTTTCCTTTCTCCTGTTTTCTATCTCATTCCTCTACATTCCTTAATCAATAAGTATTTCCTAAATGCAAGAGACCAGCTCCTGTCATCAAAAAGCTTATTATTGAATAGATGTGCCTTGCAGTGATCCTGATGGACTCCTTCATGCGGCTGTCATTCTCCAATCAAAATGGTTTTGGACCCATCAAGTTTATCTACATTTTATGGGTCAATTAAGTGCCTACTGGGTAGCATTTTTGTAGTATGAGAATCAGCAACAAGAGAGAGCATATTTTTTCATGATTACATTTTCTGGAGGGAAAACTTAAAAGATGCCATTTTATTTTCCTATATGTAAAACTGTGTTTCCAATGGAAATGAATTTAGCAATCCAAGAGAGCTTTTGTAACTGCCAATAGAGTTCCAGGTTGCTTGGCAATGCAAATGAAGATCAGAAACCATCCCCACCCAACAAAATGAAAAACAACAAAAACAACAACAAACCAAGAAACCCCATATGTCTGTCATTCCAGAGATGCACAGTTGAAAGGAGCCCAGAATAAAGCTTTGAATGAGAAACAAAAAAATGTGAGGGCAACACATGAAATGTGTTTCATTTTTTTAAAGCAAAAACAAAATAAACAAAAACCAAGTTGTTAATGTATTATTTCCCATCAGAAGGGAAAATACCAATAATGGGTTTGAGGGTTGTGGTGCCAAGTTCTCTAGGGTTATAAACTAGACTGATGCAAAGCAGATGAAATTTCATCTGCGGCTTACAAATGAAAGCTTTTTAATGGGGAAATGGAACATTTCTGCCCCATAGATGTGCTGAGACCTCAGGTTCAATAGAAGTTCAAGTCCTCTTTTTCTCAGCATGCCAGAAGCAGGCACCTTGGTGAACATCAGGCTAAAGAATTCATGGAGAATGCACTAAAGGGTTAATGGAAAGGGCTTCTAAAAACCAAGGAATACCCCCCCGCCAAAAAAACCCAAATTAACAGTCTACTGTTTAAGATTATTTTTTAAAAATATATCAACCTAATGTACAAAGAACTAAAGCTTTAGCAAAGGGGACCAGTCAATAAAGAACACCTTTGGTGATATGTCACATTGTCTTTTCATCTGTAAATGATAATGAATTTGGCAACCATTTTGCCCCTTATTGCAAATTTAAGAATAGTATCCCATCCATTCCTAACTCCTGTTTTCTGAGCAGGATTTTTAGAGCGCTGTTGTCCTAACATACAGAATTAATGTTGAAAGAATTGGTAGAGTTTGGGAGAGTTGGAGAGGTTAGGGTTTTATAATTATTTTTCTTCGATTATGTCTATATTTTAAGTTATTTACTCATTTCATGTCAATTTCAACCTCGAGGAAATAAAAACCTTTTTTCTTTCTCTAGGCATTCTATATTGTTCATGGGAAGTGGAACTGTGTAAAAGGCTCATGTGAGTCTAAGCAGTTACCAGTGAGGAGAATACAAAAGGCCACCTCACCCCAGTGCCTGTGGCATCTGACACTAAAACATATGGCTGAAAAATGTAAAGTGCCATCAGTTACCAGGCTGCTTGTCTCCCTGTTCTGTGATATCCCAAACCAGAGAGCTCGGTTTCTTTACAGAGTAGAATGATTACGACCACTAGTCTGCCCTTGCTTGGTAAAGGCAAAACTCCAAATGGGCAGAAAAAATCCTCCAGGTGGCAGCACCTTCTTAGCTTTCAAATCCTCCTCTAGTGTGTTTTTAATTAGAACTAAAAATATAGTAACTACCAAAACCAAATTGATCCAGGAATAAACATTTATATGGTACCTCCAATCTGGAACTAGTCAAGATGTATTAAATTATTAATGATCTCTTCCAGCTTCTGACTATTGCTTGTTTTGACTTACATATTTAAATACTCCCTTGTAAGTAAATATGAAAGTTTATAGACTTAAAACAACATAGAGTTATAAGAATGAGGTCATAACCTGTGACTTCTGGATTAATGTAATTCATTGTGTCTGCTTGTTTCTCATTACCAACTAGCATTTCCAGTCCTTCATATCAGCCATGTTGTGCTGTTGTGACCATTGCTCTAATTTCTATGTCCTTATGCTTAAGCAAGAAACCATTACAGAAGCTTTGAGCCAAGGTAATAACAATAAAAAAGTGTTTTTAAGCCAGAAGCAGAAGGGGAGAAGGGAGTAACAGACATTCAGAAGGCTGGTGAAAGGTGAGCAAGACTTCCCCGGCAGAAAGAGCTTGTTTAGGGAAAATGGCATGGTGTTCTTTGAAAAGTCCTTTTTATTTTTGGCCTTAGCAAATGAACCTATGGAAAGCATTTACTAATTGGACATACAGTCAGATCAACCAGCAATCTTTCTGTAATGAAAGAAAATATAGGAAAGGTTAGCACTTTCCACAAACCCTAATCAGTCTCCTCTTTCTGTATTTGTCATTGAATGTCTCCACAACATCAAAAACAACTAGATGAAAAAGGAAATATTCAAAAGCTTGCTGGCTCTTCTACATACCAGTTTGATTTTTTAAAAACTGGATATACTGAATTAAATGAACTGACTTTGAGTAGCCATCATGTCAATGTTGTGTAGTCTCCGAGACAGTTAAGCCTATTTGAAGATGCTTATGATGTTCTTGTCTGTCTATCAATATTTTAGTCACCTAGACTCAGAACCTGAGATTTACTTATTAGTCACCCATTCAAACACCATCCACTGAATATTCACTGTGGCAGACACGATGCTGGGACCTGATCTTCAGCACTTCATTTTCTTCAAACTCTGTCAGATCGGTCCTTGCCTCATGTTTTCAGTTTTATTTTTTCTTTCTGATTCCGTGGACTCTACCCTAGACCTTAATCACTTAATGGGTATATTACTGTGAAAACCGTCCTCTAAATTTTCATGTTTGCAGATGCTCTTTCTTTGAGTCTATTCTACTTGCTACTGCTCCCAACTGGCATGATTCATTTCACTGATTGAAAAACCTACCATGACTATTTGTTTATAAGATCAATTGAAAAATTCCTGTTTCTAGGATTAAAACTTCTTATCATCTGGCCCCTCCTAATGGGGACCTCATCTCTCAAGGCTCTTCACTGCGTCCCATCATCTGCCATGTTCTCTTGCCCTCTGACATTTCACTCAGGATGGCCTCCCTACCCTCTTGCCAAATTCAAGGTCTCCCTTAACATCCCTTCTCTCTTCATTGCAATATCTACCACCAGCATCTATTATTTCTATTCCATATTCTACCTTGTCTTTCTTTCTTTTTTTTTTTTTTTTTGGTATTTATTGTTTTTTCAACAAGATTACATTCCTATTGTTGAGGGACTTTTCCTTAGTTTGGCTAAAGACGGGATCCTTGTCACGTGACCACAAAAGATTAGGCTCCCAGACAATTTGAAGGGTGAGAATAATGGGATTTGTTGGGTGAAAAGGAAAAAAAAAAACAAGAAACAAAAAATAGGGAAACATGAATTCTCCATAAGGCTAGGGTCCTGCTAGTGTGCTTCCTGCCTCACAGTTTGAATTCCAGTTTCCACCCAGGAAGAGGAGGGGCCAGGCTCCTCCCCACTGCAAATAGCGCGAACTTCTGTGGCTCCGCCCAAGTGTGCACTCCTCCCAGTGCACAGGCTGGTTGGAGTTTCCGTGCGGACCACTTCCCACCTGGCTGTCTCACTATAAAAAACATCCCCTGAATCCTGTACTCATTTCTTATCACTCACTCTGTTCAACACATAGTAGGTGGCCAAAAATACTGAACCAAGAAATGCTTATTAAGTTGAATGTTTTCTCTATGCAAACTGGTCAACTAATACATGCCCATCATGGTCATCAGCCCCCAAAGCAGCACTTCTCAGAAAGACTAAATGTCATTCTATTCATAAAAAGAAAAGATTCAATTTAACAATGTTCCTAGCATGTACTAGGAAATGTTGAATCCTCTCATTTTTTAAAAGCCACCTTTAGAGAATTACATGATTGCTAATGTAACAGAAAAAGCTTATATTTGATTTTCATTTGAAACAAAAAGGTCAGGTTACTGCAACATTTTCTCTGTTGTGATGACATGTTTAATACAGGACAGTTTGACCTCTTATTCTATCTTAATACTTTTCTTTTCTCTAATAACACGGTGTCTATAATGGTGAATTATGATATTTAGAAATGTTTTGAAAACTTCCTCGAGTCAAGTGAGTAATTCTGACCACTGAAGATGTTTTTCTGCACTAAAATAAAGGATTGCAAGGCAGTTGCCCTTTGCCATCATCCCAGTTGACTTTGAAGAGCATAGTGACATAGCAAACATGCTTTCCTTCATAGGACTTGTTAAATGTGTGTCTTGCCCATATCTGAGCGTCTCCATTACTGATATTGCCTCAGCCCCTTGAGACTCTGGAAAAAGAGGATGATTCGGGTTAGTATTTCCAGCTTCACAGGCAGTATTTGCTTTAGAGACACATTTATTTCTGAATGTGTCTCCTGAAGAAAAAAATGGCACAATTTTATGACTTAGGAAAAACACAGGATATTTAGAAACCAACCTTTTAAAGAGTGTTTGTTCTAATACCACTTCTGCTTGTTGTTATATTCTCTAACTTGGTATAACTGCCCTTAATTCCAAACAGCCTTCAAATTTGCAAAGATTGTCTTCTACTGATTAAGAAGTTAACGGGTATTGAGTTCCTGGTACTGCACAGGGATTTACAAATGTGGTCCACAGTAAAAGGCAGGAAAACCTCTCAGCAGCAAAGGCTAAAACCCCAAGAAAGGGGAATTGCCCATGGCTTCTGTCATTGGCTATTGACACTTTCAGCCACTGCCCCAATTCCATTTTTCTACCATCTTGACCAAATAGTCTGTTTGGCATAACTAGTATATTCCATGTCTTCTCGGCATTAACACACAGGAAAAACGTGGCAACCTGAATTTTCTAACTATTATGAAAATTATATCTTATTTGGTGAGCTTTAATGAAACACTTGCACTGGAATTCAGAGTACACCAGATAGGAAGGGCTTTCCTCCCCCATCTGCACCTTCTTTGTTGGGGCTGGGGAAAGGGTCTGGCTCATTCCTCTCCTTGAGCGTTGCCTATGTCAAACCAGAGCAACAGAAGTAGATATTTGACACAGCAGAGAAAAGGGGCCATACAATAATAACACCCTAGCAGTATGCTGAAAGAAGTAGTCTATACTACAAGAGGCAGAAGTGTGTTTACCTAATAAACATTTTACTTCAAAGGAACTGAAGAACTTAAAGCCCTCCCACTTTCTCTCACTCTCCCTGGCTCTATGAGAAGAAGGTGAGGAATCTCAATAGAAAAACATGATTGGAATCCAGTACCTTGGAATGGGGCTAGAGGAATGAAAGTGTAGTCAGATAAAAGGGATGGAGATGGGAAAAAAAAGAGAGTAGAGAATCCTTGACAACGAGCCGAGGTGACATCAGTATAGCATGATAAGCAATTTCAGAGGAAAAAAAAAGGGTTGGTCTGCTCCATCCTCTGGTCTAGATGTATGCTTGATTAAGTAGCATATTATTTCCTTTTTGACAATATGTCTTTTATCCCTTTAAAACATTAGGCTATAGAAAATATACACACAAAAAAGGAACAGGATTCCTGCAGTGGCAGTTCACTAGAAGACAGTTCATAAATGAAACACAAGTATTTTCTACAGATGCACCTGAGCAATAGTGCACTCATACTCTTCCTCCTTTTTTTCCTAATATCATTATTCAGTACTCAGTGCCTTGCACAGCCTATTTTAGAAGTTCTCTGCTCTATTTTACCCACTTCCATAATGGCTGTAGATACAAGCTGAGAGATCAGAAAAGGTGTGTGCTGGGGAGAGTAGCAAAGAGCCTGTCCCTTCTTTCCTATCTACTTCTGCCTTACTGTTAGTCTGCATGCTCAAAGCCTACAGATTTTGTAAAGCTTTTCAAGGTGCAGAAGTTATATGTACTATCTTATAAAATGTTTATTTAAGAAAACATTTTAAAAACTCTCTCATTCATATGGGCTGTAGGCTGCTTGAGCAGAGGGGCAAATTAAAAAGTAGAAAACACAACAGAAAAACAGACTGGTAGAAAACCAGAAACAGCCTTCTGCAGAAGGAACTGATGGTTCTGAAGTCTTTCCTGGCTCTTTTTCACTCACTGGGGGCCTGAATTGGTTTCTGATGTCCATCTAAATTAACCCCTTGTTACTGAAAGTCAAGACCCATTTGTAGGAGTCAAAAAGTTGTTCTCCTGAAATCCTGGTGCCATGCAGCTATGCAGGAGCAGGCCAGAGTTTCTAGTGAGATGAGAACATTGATTTCCCTGCTGCTCACACAACTCTTTTTCACACTCCAGAAAAACCTGCCAGAAAACATGTTGGTGCTCAGAATCAAGTGACTGAATTAGAGTTACCATGAAACCTTATTTATTTTTATGTCACTTGCTATCATTGATGTAAACAGAGAAAAAGCTAAGAGGAGAGGAAGTTAGATGTCATTCTAGGTTGAATCATAATACATGAAGAATGATCAAAGATGATCTATGAGGGATCTGCACATGCCAGTGCCTTGGAAAGTTTACTCATGCCTCGGGTTCCAAGTACCACAGTAATTCTTTAAGCTCCTGAGCCCAGGACCCCAGCTCAGCAGCTCCTCTGAGAACCTACACCCTGGAAACTGGTACAGCCGTGGCTACCTGTGGGCCATGTCAGATCTGGTGCCAAGAGGCATCCCCTTGGCTAGAATTTTCCATTGTGAAAAAAAAACCCAACCAATCTCTACCACAAAGGATCCCAACAGCTCATGCTACCATTGCTTCTGTCACAAACACCTGCAATCTTTGCCAGGACTGACTTCAGCTGATAAAGCTGTACAGAGATTACACTGCTGCAGCTGCCCACTCAGAACCAAAGCTGCTGCACTCCCATCCAACCAATACCCTCACACCCACCTGCAGGTAAAAGTTTTCACCACTGAACCCAGACTGTAAAGTCTGGAAAATGTGACTACTCCATCAAATGCACAGACATCAAATGCAAGGCCATAAGAACCACGAAAAAGCAAGGAAGCATGACACCACTAAAAGAACACTGTAATATTTTTAGTAATTGATCCCAAAGAAATAAAGAAAAGGAATCCAAAATAATTATATTCTCCACAATTTTTGAAATTCTACTCTCTTCTATATCTCTCTTTCTAACTGCAACTGTTCCAACCAGCAGGGCAGATGAGGACAGAATAGATAAACAGTAACTGTGTGGTGAGTTGCTGTTGCATAATTAAAAACAGTCTTTTCCTAGGTTATGCTGCAAAAACATTTTGTAGGCTAGAAAAGTATTTATTAACTACCAACTCTGTGTATAGATTGGCGATAGACACTGAGGATACCAAAAAGACCAAAGGAACAGGTTCTGTCTTTGAAGATCTTAAAATTTAGCTGGGGGTGATAAACATATAAACAAAACTAGAGGTCAGTTCAAAGCAATTCACAAAACTGTAGCCTGTGCAATGTGTTTCATAGCCTATAAGCAAGCTTTGTAATGGCTCCAGTCAATGGAGGATGGAGAAACGTGCTTCATAGTTACCTAGTGTCTTTTGTAGTGCCCAGCTCTAGGTGTCAGCTGTAGTAACACACTCTTTGAATATGTCCCTGGAATATTTCACTTATATTGCATATCCATAGCATGTCCACATATCACCTGTATGTCTTGCAACTCTTTATAAAATCTAACCCTCTTCTGAGTTTCCATAATACATTGGAAGCCCATCAAAAGGAGAGAGACTTTCTCTGCCCTGGTGTTCATACATTAAGTCTTGCACATGGAAGTTAAGATGGAAACTCTGCAGCCAGACTGCCTGGTTCTAATTCTCATTAACTGCGTGAAATCAGGGCAAATTATTAATTTCCCCATGCCTCAGTTTTCTCACCTATAAAATGAGGATAATAATAGTATCCACCTCTCAGGCTGTTATGAATATTAATTTAGTTAATGTATATAAAAGCACTTTGAGCTGGCCTGGCTAATAGCTGAAAATGCCTGTTAGCTTGTTTTATTATTTTCCCTTTCTTCGACAGCAAGATAATTCTCTAACTTTTGGAACGACTATATATTTTTAAATTGTATTCTGTCATTCCTTCTTTTACAATATCTCCATCATTGCAGAGAATTTATTTACCATATATCATGTTCTAGCATGCTGTGGGAAAACAAAAACAGGATCTTCTGTGGGACACTTCCTCTCCATTCCTATGACCACCGCTATCAAATCTGGGCCACTGTAATCAGATCAGTTTCTCTAATACCTATCTCTAATGAAGCCATCCTACTCAAGCCTCTGTACTATTTCCTAATGACCACTAGCTTGAGCTTGAACACTGGTTACGTGTCTTTCTCCATGGATTCCACCTCTTTTTGCTTCACTCTGATGACAATTTTCCTCCAGTCCAACTTCCTTGGTTGTCAGTGGAGACACCATGCTTCTTTTATTCTTGTGCCTTTATTCTCAATTAGATTCTAATTTTTTTATTGGTAAACAATGATATTATGAAAAGAACACAGGCTTTGCACTGAGACCTGGCTCTGGCACTACACAGCATGGCAGTTAGCTAACTTGTCTGAGCCCCTGTTACTTCATCTATAAAAGAGAAAACGTCTAGCACAGTGGTGGGCATATAGTAAATTTGAGTTTCCCTCGTTTTTCTGTCATCTCTAGCTTCTATTAGAATGCTGAGTGATAAACAGGTGTGTTGGCTAAACACTCAAGGAGTATGTAATTGCAAAACCAAAGAAATTCATCTAAAAGTTGCTTCCTTAGCTCCACTTTCTCATTGAGGCTATGGGAAACGAAGAAACCTTCCCTCTTTTGTTAGAATCACAGCCTCTGTTTAACACTTCCTCTATACTATTACTAGGACAAGAACTGGAGTCTGGATTTTTCCAGCAATTCCTCCTGTAATTTTTATTTCTGATGTCTCAGATGGAGCTCCCATACTGCCAGAACTTCAACATCAGCTTTGGAGGATATCCAAAAGGCCTTTTTTTTTTTTCTTTTTTTCTTTTTAGTAACCAGGACTCCATGCTGCTGCACAAATTGCCTGGCAGGAGGGATATGGTGCATGAGAGTCCAAATCTTCCAGCTGGAGAACAAGGTGCTGCCTGGCTTTCCATGGGCTTGCAGAGTGGACCTCTATGGCCAGATTGGATTTGATGCTGCAGCTCAGTGGTGAGTTGGCAACTACAGTGTGAGAGGATCGGCTTAGATTATTAATGGTTGAGGCTGTGTGTGGTGGCTCACACCTGTAATCCCAGCACTTTGGGAGGCCAAGTGGGTAGATCACTTGATGCCAGGAGTTCAGGACCAGCCTGGTCAACATGGCAAGATCCTGTCTCTAATAAAAATACAAAGTTAGCCGGGCTTGGTGGCATGTGCCTGTAGTCCCAGCTACTCAGGAGGCTGAAGCAGGAGAATGGCTTGAACCAGGGAGGTGGAGGTTGCAGTGAGTCCAGTTGACGCCACTGCACTCCAGCCTGGGCAAAGGAGTGAGACTGTTGTCTCAAAAAAAAAAAAAAAAAAAAAAAAGCTTGAGTCTCTGATGATTCAAAGACTGGGTTCCTGTGAGCAGCCCCAAAAGAGTCCAGGGAGTTTAATCTTGTGTTGCTATGGTGTTGAGCCTAGAAAACTTACCTAGAAAATTCGAGGGCTTGTTTGTGCCAGAAATTCTAGGAGAAATATCTTTCTTAGATGTATTTACATGAGCTGAAAAACCAGATATGAGGCTAAAAGGAACAATTAGAATCATTATTTGAATAAAATTATTAATATTATATTAAAGAGATGCACGGTAAGTTTCAACATAGATTAATGTAAAATATTTTTGGCACTCTACCTTATTTAAAAAACGATGGAAAGTATTACTGAACAACATGACACATAGATGAATCTTAATGGGTTAGTTATTCTTGTGTTAGTCTTACTTGAAGATACTGAGAATAAATGAGAGAACTCCTGATGTTTTACTCTAGATTTATTATTCTGCAGGTGATGTTGCCTGGTTTAATATAACCTAAATTTAGGGTCATACCATTCACAGTGGGAGAATATATAAGCGTTTTCTTCCTCTCTTTTTCTTTCTTTCTTTTCTCTTCATTTCTTTCTTTTTTGAATTTTGTGACAAATTTTCTATTTTGTGACAAAAGGAGATTCATGAATAATTATGGGAACGTATTATTGAATGACAAAGTCAAGAGCTATAGAACCTTGGACAACAGGATATCCTTTCCAAGAAGTTTTTAAAAAGCAATTAAACAAAATATCATTTAGGCATAAATGTGATTAAAACCACATTTTAAAAAGCATGGGGATCGTAGATAAAGACAAGGTTCAGGATAGTGGCTCCTGTGCATTGGAGGCAGGGGAACTGGAACACATAGGCTAATCTATTTAAGTTACTGGCAATGTTCTAGTGTTTGTGTCAGGCAGTGTGTTCACAAGGGTTTGTTGTGTTTATAAATAAATAAAATGTTTTTAAAATGTGACTATGCATGAACCAATAGATAATGTGTCTCAAAGTAAGAATTTAGATCAGTCCAATTTGGTACACCTGAGGTTCATTTTAAAAAACTTTTTTTTTTCAAAAATAAAATAATTTTGGAGGAAAGAATTACACTTTTCAAACTTTTTTTTTTAAAGGTTTCAGACATTTAAAAGTTTGAAAAAAAGTTTAAAAAGTTTAAAAAGTTTAAAAAAAAGTTTAAAAGTTATTTTTAAAGGTTTTCAAACTTTTTTTAAAGGTTTCAGATTTAGGTACATACATTTTTATCACTAGCGCTAAAATCATATAAATTAGGTAAGGGATAATTTCCCCAAAAGCAACCAGACCTAGAACCATACACTGTGGTGGGAGGCAGAGGAGGAGAAGGAAGGGACTGGAAGAGAGAAGTGGAGACTAAATTAAGAAAGAAATGGAGGGTCATTCCATCTGTAGATGAAGCGTCCATCTGTAGAGATGGAAAAATGTCCAGAATATAAAGTCATGAATCAAAAAAACCTATTGGCTGACCGTGACCTCATTGGCAGGGCCATTAGATAAGACATGAATATGCAACTATCTATTGAACATCTATTATGCTAGATATGAGATACAGTTACACACCTCAAAGAGGCTTACAGCCTGAAGGTAAAAGGCCTAGCAGATTCTCAGCTTCAAAGAAACCATTATCTTCCCTCATCTGAGTAAAGAAATTAGGGAATAAATGGGGAGAAGATCAGGGTACCTGTTTTGTATAAATACACTGGACATAAGTGTGGGAAACTTGATTCAATTTCCCATAGTAAACCCACCACATTCCCCCCCCTCCCCGATAGTCACAGGACTTCCTTCCTTATAATTTGGAAGCAGAGAACTTGGTAATAAGGATGATAGAAAGCTCTTTGAAATGGGTACTTTCCCCTTCGTATCTACAGGACTCATTTAATTCACATTCTTGGTTGCCTGCTCTATGCAAGGCAAACAGGCATTGAATTAACAATGAAGACAGTTTTTCCCCCGTCCCCCCGGATAAGACAGTCACCTAAAGCAGTTTTAAAAATTGAGCCTGTCCAATTTTATTCCACCCAGTCATGGCATACCTCTTGTGAATATTTAGGTTTGCTTTTGATTTGTGATGCCTCGCTAGGAGCATCTGTCCTCGCCACTTGTGGGCACCCTCCCCCTTTATTTTGTAATATATATTACTTAGGATTGGGGCTGAAGGACATCTGTAAGCAGCATGTTTCTGTTCATATACAACAACTTTACTGGAACTGCAATCTGATTTGCAATAAAACTTACTTTCTGGTATTTACTGACTTCTTTAGTCTGAACACCAATTCTAGTAATTAGGCTGAAACCATGACATGATTGATTTAGAGAGGCTGGTGTTAGCTGCTTACATCAGCGCATTCTAGGGACTTTCCATGAAATAATTTTACTGCAAACTGCCATCACCTTATAGTAGGTGAAAAACAATGTCCATAGAAGCCCTCTGACGTACTTCCAACTTTGATTATTCATGGTAATGAAGGCTAGGCAGACAGCCCTGCAATTCCCAGTGGAACATCAAGTTAAATGCTGATGGCCTAGGAATCATGGCAGCCCCTTGGTCAGTATGCCCAGGGGCCAGTTTGGCATTCATTAGTGGTACTTTCTGCACTTTTCCTTGGATGGGAGTTTAGCATACCACCTACTCAACAACCCGTCTATCTCTATTGACCTCAAATGATGCTGGGACTCCAAAGATCACCCCAAGAAGCACCTGGAGTTCCAGCTCTTAGATAAGCAACGTAGCTTATCTTCTCTGTGGAGACATACTAGCAGCCCTGGCATTCTATCATGGGGGTAGCCTGTCTTCATCCCCTTCCTACAGCCTTTCTCTGAGTGTAAGTAAGGCAGAGCCACTGGTAAAGAAGGCTCCACCGGAGTTGAGGGAGCAGCTGGCCAGGTGTAGAACGTGCTGTGTGAGGTGGGGGCTCAAAGGAGAAGGGACCCAGCAGGCAGAGGAGGCAGGTGTTCCATTCCAAAGGGGCCAGGCTGCTGGCTGTGTCCCTGTGGGGACTCCGGTGTGGAGAAAGTACTTTCTCTTGCTCTCACTTCTTATTTTGTAGTGCAACAAAACAATATCATAGTCCAGGACATGGCGCTAGCCACTTATTTAAGAATTCTTATTTTGTTTTTTTGTTTTTTGTAAAGTCACTAAGAAGGGATTATGTCCCAGAGTGGGTTGGATGTTGAAAATAACTCAGTAGCTTCGGCAAAGAGATTGAATCTGGGAGTAAATAACATGCTAAGAGATGGTCTTAGATTTCCAAGAAAAATTGGGAAAACCCTTCTTCAAGTAAAAGCTGATGGGAAACATTCTATTAATTAGTGTAAATGAACAATGTAGTTTGGATCACTTGTAATATATCAGCAATGCCATATACATTTAATAACACATATAAAACAGGCATGTTTTATAGTTATTATTTGATCCTAAAATGGTCCTGTTGGGTACTATTGACCAGGTAAAGCAAAACATGAACATCAAAGAAGTTGTATGACTTGTCCATGAAAAAAAATTTCATGTAGCTAAGGAGAATGGTGAGGAAAGGCAATGCTATATGATGGAAAGTGCTCAGGTTAAGGATAAGAAGATCTGCTTTCTAATTCAAATGGACTAACTGATTTTCCAACAGTAAACAAGAAAATCACTTACTTGCTCAAGAAATTCCTCACTCCGAATGTGATGGAGTTTGAGAGGATTAGTTGTTATCATCGTTAACTTCTCTTTTGATTCTCCGTCTCCCCATCATTGGAGAGTTCTTTAAAATATTAAGTCTCAGACTCCAGATTTCACTGGAGTACTAATTAATTAATTAATATTAATCTGTGTACTGGGACTTCAACCATTGCCATTTGTTTGTTTGCTTGCTGGTTTGTTTGTTTCTCAGCTGTCTATGTGGTTCTATGCTGCAGCCAGCATTGAGAGCCCTTGAATTAGATTATTTCTGAGGTGACATCTAGCTTTTACATTCTAAATTAATTTATTTTCCAAGCCCCCTATTTAGGGCCAGGTGTTTTGAAGTCCATTTGCGTCTCGTTGCTTTACCTATCACAATGTGAAAACTTGATGAGAAGCTAAATGGAGTTGTTTACTCACAAGAGCAAAGATGGGATAGAAATATGTGCATCATAATCTTGCCCCTCCCACGCTGTTTCCTTTGATATCCCAAAGGCCCATGGAAATGTTAGTCTAATGGAAAGAAAGAACTCAGTTGTATAAGAAGAAAACAGTAAATTTTCATTGAAACATAATTTCGATTTAAGGAAATGATAAAAGAGAAGAAACAACTATTCTTTTTCAGTTCTAATTATCAAAAAATTGCTGGCAAGAATAACCATCTTTTAAAAAAAGAAATACTACAACTTAAAATAGTTCATCTTGTCAAAAAAAGAAATGATACTAATTCTCATATCCTTGGTATCCACAAGGTACTGGTTCCAGGACCCTCTGCAGATACCCAAATCTGCAAATGCTCAAGGCCCTTATATAAAATAGCATAGTAAATGCATATAACCTACACGTATCCTCCTGCATACTTTAAATCATCTCTAGATTACTTATAATACCTAATACAATGGAAATGCTATGTCAATAGTTGTCATACTATATTGTTTAAATCTGTATAATTTTTTATTGTACTGTTACTATGTATATTGTTGTGGGTTTTTTAAAAATATTTTTCATCAATGGTTGGCTGAACCTACAGATGCAGAACCCATAGATATGGAGCGCTGACTGTACTTGTTTTTTCAATAAGAAACAAATAGTAATTTTAAGCTATATAAATTTGATTTACAATTGATTGAAGATCCTAAAGGCCCAGGAAATATTTCACTTTTGTACTTTTCCTCGGCACACTAATATTAACTATCTGGCATTATTTGTTAGATATGATCTAGCCAGTGTTTGGAATAATGAAATCTACATTGCATTTTGACTTAATGTCTATTTTAATTCTGATACAGGTGTAGCCATCCCTGTTTTCATTTATTATTTGCATAGAACATCTTTTTACTTTCAGCCTACATGTGTCCTTAAATCTAAAACAAGTCTCTTGTAGACATATAGTTCAGTCTTGTTTTTATTTTTTTATTCATTCAGCAACTCTATCTCTTTTGATTTGGGTGGTTAATACATTGACATTTAAAGTAATTATTGATAGGAGGGACTTACTATTGTCATTTTGTTAGTTATTTTCTGTTGATCTTGCAGTTCTTTTGTTCTTCTTTTCCTCTCCTGCTATCTTACTTTGTGCTTTACTGATTTTTTTAAAATAATAATGTGTTTTGATTTCTTTCTCTTTCTTCCCTGTAGCTTCTTTTTTGGAGACAGGGTCTTGCTCTGTCACCCAGGCTGGAGTGCAGTGATGCAATCATAGCTCACAACAGCCTCAAACTCCTGGGCTAAAGTGATCTTCTTGCCTCAGCCTCCCAAGTATCTGGGACTATAGGGGTACACAACCATGCCTGGCTAATTTTTTAAAAAAAATTATTTTGTAGAAATGAGCTCTCACTATATTGCCTCAGGCTAATCTCACACTCGTGGTCTCAAATCATCCTCTGCCTTGGGCTCACAAAGTGCTGGGATTAGAGGCATGAGCCATCTCTCCCAGCCTTCCTGTTATCTTCTATAGGTATTTTCTTTGTGGTTACCATGAGGCTAGATAGAACATCTTATAGTTGTACCAGTCTATTTTTAACTGATAACAACTTAACTACTGTCACACAAAAAAATTCTACTTTTACTTCTCCAACCACTCACACTTTATGTTATTTATGTCACAATTTACATCTTTTATGTTGTGTATACATTGAAAAAATTTGGTAGTTTTTCTTTTATAGTTATTCTTAATACTTTTGTCTTTTAACATTTATACTACAGGTGATTTATATACCACCTGTACAGTATTATAATATTCTGTATTTATCTATGTATTTACTTGTACCAGTGGGTTTTATACTTTCATATGCTCTTGTGATACTGCTTAGCATCATTTTGTTGCAATTTAAAGAATTCCCTTTAGTATTTCTTGAGATGCGAGTTTAGTGGAGATAAACTTCAGCTTTTGTTTGTCTGGGAAAGTCTTTCCCTCTCCTTCATTTCTGAAATACAGTTTGCTGGTTATAGTATTCTTGGTTGATGTTTTGTCATTTTTTTCCCAGCATTATTTTCTTTATTATTATCCTCTCTTCTGGCCTGCAAGCCTTCATCTGAGAAGTTCACTGATGGTCTGATAGAGGATCTCTTGCATGGGACAAATCACTTTTCTCTTGCTGCTTTGAAAATTCCTTGTCTTTGATGTTTGGCAATTTGATAATAATGTATTTTGGTGTAGATTTAATCCTATTTGGGTCTTTTAGACTTAATGAAACTGCAGTTCCATATATCTCCCAAGATTTGGGAAGTTTTCAAGATTATTTCTTTAAATAAACTTTCTACCCCTTTCTCGCTCTCCTTCTAAAATTTACATAGTACATAAACTAGTTTGCTAGAAGGTGTCTCATAGGTCCTTAGATTTTCTTTACTATTTTTCCTTTTTGTTTCTCTAACTAGATAATTTCAAATGACCCATATTTTTAAATTACTTCTTCTGTTTAATCAAGTCTACAATTTAATTTGCTGAATTTTTCAGTTTAGATATTAGGTATTGTATTCTTCAGCTCTAGAATTTCTATTTGGTTCTTTTTTATGGTTTTATTTCTTTGTTGATAGTCTCATTTTGTTCATGTATAATTTTCCTGATTTTATTTAGTTGTCTGTGCTGTCCTGTAACACACTGAGCTTCTTTAAGATGATTAATTTGAATTCTTTGTCAGGCAATTCATATATCTCTATTTCTTTATGGTCAGTTGTTACACATTTATTTTGTTCCTTGATTGTGTCATATTTTGCTAATTTTTGGTGCTTTTTGTAGTTTTTGTTGATGCCTGCACATTTGAAGAAATAGCCACCTCCTCTAATCTTTAAAGACTGGCTTCAGTAGGAAAAGATCTTCACCAGTAAACCTGGTTAGAGATTCTAGGAGCCTCCCAAACCTTCTCTATAGATGTGCATTGCATTCTCTACTTCTCTCTCTTCCTCCTGAGGGATAAATTGTAGTGTTGTGCACCTTCTCTCAATTGCAAGGAGCGATGCTGGCCATGGTAAGCTGCCAACCCCTTTTCCCTAGGGCAGTGCAATAAAAGACCAGGGCATTGGATGCATGCTTCACTCTTCTCCCTCATCTTCTGGGAGAGAAATGTTAGGATTGTATGCCTTCTCCCAGTCTTGCAGAACCATGCTGGCTGCAGTAAGCTGTCTACCCCATGTTTTTTGTTCTTAGCTGTCCCCAGGTGTTAAAACTATGCTGTGGTTTCTTTAGCACTCTGAGTGAGGTAGAACAGAAACAGGTCTCTCAGCACCCCAAAAGACTGAGAATGTTGGGTGCATACTCCTTTCTTTCCCTCCAAGAGAGGAGTCATGGGCTGAAGCAATCTTTCTTGACACTGAACTGTGCCTGAGGAAGGAAGTGATGTGAGTAAAGTGAAATTGCTCTTTTGCCTAGTTCAATGTGGTATTTTGGTTTTATGTGAATCTGAGTGACTGCAACTTCTTAAGTGAATTTTGAACTTCTCATAAAGATATTTGGGTTCATATATCACTGTTAAATTGGTGTTTCTGTGGCAGGATGAGGGCTAACAATTCCTATTCTGCCATCTTGTTGACAGCACTCCAAACCTACATTGTATTTTAAAGTTAGCATATAATTTGCTAGTCAGAAGGCAGCTCTTTTTGTACTGTATGTTTAACATATAGTAATGACACAGATACTAGTAAGTGTGTTTTAAGCAGGAAACAATAAATCAGTGTTTCTTACATTTATTTTTGGAACACTTCTTCCAAGAGGAGAGGAAATGATTCTCTGTCTAAATAATTGTGGAAAACACTTGAATAAAGTTATGCAGGTTACTTTACAGCAAGTTTATTCAGCCCGTAATATACTAATAGGCCTTGGATATCTCCAAAGGTGAGTATGCAGTGCAGCATTCTCCAAAGTCATCTCATCCCAGAACCATTTTTATGTGGAGCATCCTATGAACTAGGCATTTTTAGAACAACCTTGGAAAACAATAGACTAGAGAGAGAAAGATGTACCAGTTCTATCATTTATATTGAATTTTGCTATTGTAAAGCATTTATGTTGAATTTTCTTGTTGACTTTTTGCATAAGATAATGAAGATGACAGCAGAATAAATCATTCTTTCTCTACTTCTAGTATATTGAATGTCTTCTAGAAAAACTCTCAGTAGTGATAACCTTAAATACCTGTTTGACAACAAAGATATCATGAAGGTAAAACAAAGCAAGAAGAAAAAAGAGCACAGTTTCAGAAAGAATAATGGATGCATTAAAGTAAGTCATTTGCTGAGGGGCAGATAAGTCAGTGGTATGTTACAGTCAGAAATAATGTACCATGAGAGGACTGAAAGGACACTCAAACACTTGCTTAATTTGGGTAATGATGATTATTTATTCGAAGAATGCTCTATGTCTACATTAACTATAAAACTGTTTTTAGTTATGAAAAATATATTCACAAAACTAAATTGAAACTCAATTTTGTTTTGATAACATTACCAGTTTAATTAACACATTCACAAATGATGAAATTATGGGCAGCATATTTTAAATTAAGATTGCTAACCTAAATTTCAAGAAATAGAGACAATTTATGCTTGTTCAGAATTCAGAAAAAGCATTTAAAACTAGATTATGTTACTGCATGAAACTTTTTCCCCACTCATGGTGAACAGAGTTCTTCCCTAGGGTTGGGAATAACAAGGATGAATGAAATCTTCCGATAATTCAAAAGCTTAATTTTAGTTCACAGTTCCAATTTCCTTCTCTAGTAAATCATATCAATACTGGTAAAAACTAGAAAACATGACTAATTTTAGTTTAGTTATTTTTCCAACTCCTGCTCACACATTAATTTAATGAGCAATGAGAGTTCATAAAGCATAGCACAGGAGAGAGAAGAGGAGAAAAAAAGAACATCAGGAAAAAAATAGTCTACTGGCTGGGTAATCACTTCTTAAATTAATGAAGAAAGCACTGGCAAAATTGGAATTCAAAACAATGCTGACAGAGTGAAAAGCCTCTTTTAATGGTATTGTTAAGATACCTACTGAAAGAGTGACCACTTTTTATTTACAGACCCAGGCTGTTTGGAAAACGTGCATATGCACACTACTTAAAGTAAGGGAAGCAACCAGTGTACATGTTGTTAGTAATGACATTCTGTGGTAGGATTTTTGGACTATTCCTTATCTTAAACAAAAGGGATTAAAGGATTCCAGAAGAGCAGTCTGGACCCATATTGCCAAGCACCAAGTAAGTCTACAGCAATTGCCACTGAATGGATGAAAGAATGACAAAATGAAGAAATGGCAGAAAGAGGGGATGCTGCCTTTGATATTAGTTCTTATTTTATGCCCTAGTTGTTCATTTGTGCCTAATTTCTTTTTAATTTTGTGAACTGCCTAATATGTTATTTCCCCTAGGCCTAGTATCTTTTCCCCTGTCCCCTATTTTGCCTTGCTCTTGCCCCCTACTGATGGACTTCCCTGATGCCAACTGCCTTCCCAAATTTCCAAGTTTTGCTTACTCTTGGATCCTCTTTTATACTGTGTCTTCTCTCATCTCCCTGACTACCATATGTAGGGCCAATGAAATCTGTAGCTACTGATTTCCTGCACACTCATCTGTTTTCTTGTCCACTTCCTTCCTGTTGGGTCTGGCTCCACGGTCTATCTCCCTGTCTCCAGTTTATCTGCCCTACCACTATGGAGTTACCTGAGGGCGTACATGGTTGCCTCATGGTATCTCCATGGATGTGAACCTATTTAAACAACTAGATATTTTTAAGTAAATATTAATTGCATCAATACTATCAGTCCAAGTTTGTGGACATACTCATAATCCATGAAAAGACTCCTCACATATGGCCAGGCGAGGACTATAACTGTTGGGGGAGCTCTATGTGATTCCAAGTTCCCAGAGGTTCTAGCTTCAACTATCTGGTGTGAAGATTCTCACACACAGTCAGGCTCAGGAACCACAGGCTGTGTGTCATATTTTTTTACACTGAACTGGCTTCTGAACACCAGCTGTGATTCATCTGACTAAAGCAGCTTGGATAGATAGCAGTGCTGTGCTGTAGTTTCTGTTATTTCTTACTTCAGATATTCTCTTACATGTTAGACTTTTGGAAGATTTTTTAAAAGAATCCAACTTTTTTTTTTTTTTTTTTTTTTTGAGACGGAGTCTGACTCTGTCACCCAGGCTAGAGTACAGTGGTGCAATCTTGGCTCACTGCAACCTCTGCCTCCCAGGTTCAAGCAATTCTCTGCCCCAGCCTCCTGAGTAGCTGGGATTACAGGTGCATGCCACCACGCCCGGCTAATATTTTTGTATTTTTAGTAGAGACAAGGGTTTCACCATCTTGGCCAGGCTGGTCTTGAACTCCTGACCTCGTGATCCACCCGCCTTGGCTTCCCAAAGTGCTGAGATTACAGACATAAGCCACCATGCCCAGCCTAGAATCCAACTTTTTAATGTAGAATTGTAGAAAACAGCATGGAGATCCCTTTAAAAAATTAAAAATACAGTTACCATATGATCCATTCCACTTTTGTGTGTTTACCCAAGAGAATTAAAAGCAGGATCTCAAAGAGAGATTTTTACACCCATGTTCACAGTGACATTATTTACAATAGCCAAAAATGGAAGCAAGGCAAGTGTCCACTTATGGATAAATGGATAACTAAAACGTGATATGTGTGTGTGTGTGTGTGTGTGAGAGAGAGAGATGGAATATTACATATATAATATATATACAAAATATTCTCTCTATATAATCACTATTCAGCCTTTAAAAAGAAGGAAATCCTGACACATGTTATAATATTAATGAACCTTGAAGTCATTATGCTAAGTGAAATAAGCCAGCACAAAAAGACAAATACTGTATGATTTCACTTATATGTGGTGCTTATAATAGTCAGATTCATAGAATTTGATATTAGAATTATGGTTCCCAGGGGCTGGGAGGAAAGGGGAATGGGGAGTTATTGTTTAATGGGTATAGAGTTTCAGTTTTGCAGAATGAAAAAAGTTCTGAAGATGGATAGTAGTGATAATTACAGAACAATATGAATGTACTTAATACCACTGAACTTTACGTGTAAAGTTGGTTAAGATGGTCAGTTTTGGTCCTGAGAACGTGAGTCCACGCGTCTGGTTGCCCGTGAGTCCAGCCTTAGCCCACGCAGCTTTCAGTCATGGCCTCCGTAATCGCGCGCATGGCATAGCCCGCCCCTGACTTCAAGGCCACCGCCGTGGTGGATGGATAGCGCTTTCAAAGAAGTGAAGCTGTAGGACTACAAAGAGAAATACGTGGTCCTCTTTTTCTACCCTCTGCACTTCACTTTTGTGTGCCCCACGGAGATCATCGCGTTCAGCGACCATGCCGAGGACTTCCGCAAGCTGGGCTGCGAAGTGCTGGGCATCTCAGTGGACTCTCAGTTCACCCACCTGGCTTGGATCAACAACCCCCAGAGGGAGGGAGACTTGGGCCCCCTGAACATCCCCCTGCTTGCTGAGGTGGCCAGTGGCTTGTCTGAGGATTACGCCGTGCTGAAAACAGATGCGGGCATTGCCTACAGGGGCCGCTTTATCAGTGATGGCAAGGGTGTCCTTTCCAGATCACTGTTAATGATTTGCCTGTGGGACGCTCCGTGGATGAGGCTCTGCGGCTGGTCCAGGCCTTCCAGTACGCAGAAGAGCACGCGGAAGTTTGTCCCGCTGGCTGGAAGCCTGGCACTGACACGATTAAGCTCAACGTGGGTGACAGCAAGGAAAATTTATCCAAACACAATTAGGCTGGCTGACGGATAGTGAGCTTGTGCCCTTACCTAGGTGCCTGTGCTGGCTGCCCACCAGTGCCGCCACCTGGGTGCCCTGTGCTGACCCAGGAAAGGCCAGACCTGCCCCTCCAAAGTCCACAGTCTGGGACACTGGAAGGCTAGACCAAGGCCGTCTCATGCCTCCACCTGGGAACTAGTAAATAGTGATGCCCTCCTACAAGCCCACCCAGCCGCACACAGGCCTAGAGTTGACCAATAAAGTATAAGCGACAGAAAAAAAAAAAAGGTCGATATTCTGTTATGTATGTTTTAGTATAATTTTAAATATCTTTCTTGGTCTTTGGTTTCTAATTCCAAGATGCCATGATGCAATAGATACAGTGATACAGTTTGAAAAGTCAAAATGAACTTTTTTTCTTTTCCTTTTTTTTTTTTTTTTTTTTTGAGACAGAGTCTCACTCTGTTGTCCAGGCTGGAGCGCAGTGGCGGGATCTCAGCTCACTGCAAGCTCTGCCTCCCAGGTTCATGCCATTCTCCTGCCTCAGCCTCCCGAGTAGCTGGGACTACAGGCGCCCGCCACCACACCAGCTAATTTTTTGTATTTTTAGTAGAGACGGGGTTTCATCTTGTTAGCCAGGATGGTCTCGATCTCCTGACCTCGTGATCTGCCCGCCTCGGCCTCCCAAAGTGCTGGGATTACAGGCGTGAGCCACTGTGCTCGGCTCCAAAATGAACTTTCTAACCTAGAGTAAAACTATTGTTGTCAGACCTTGATCAAATAGTATAACATTCAATTAATATCACTGAACATCAATTATATTCAAGGCACTATGTTAGATACTGTTGGGAGGGACTGCAGGGTAGAAGACTGTATGGGACAGAATCTAAGGCATAGGAAAATTTTAAATCTACTTGAAAGGATAAAATATATACACTAATAACTACACTTTCACATGGTATATAAAAGAGGAATTACACATCATGGGAAAATACAGAAGGAAGAGTTTGGGACCTAAGTGATGGCTTCATGGAAGAGGTGACGTCTCATCTGAGTCTTAAAGGCTGGGGTGCCCATTGAGAGGCAGAGATTTTGGATGGCCATTCCAAATGGAAGAAGCAGTAAGTGGAAAAATATGGGCAGTATTCCAAGAACAGGGAACTGTCAGTTTAGGCTAGAGAATAAGAGAGACATAGTAGCCTTTTGGAGATAGGCAGGCAAGGTGGGTTGTATCTACTTTGACCTCATTTGAGGCAACAAGAAGCCTTAGTTAAAATAACCACAAAAAGCACTTTTAAATACATTTTTAACATGTAATCTGCAGTGGTTATCTTAGAAGAGATTTGTGCATGCAGGTGGGATATGAGCCAGGAAGCTATTACAAAGCTGTGTGAAACTCAACAACTACTTGGAATACAAAATCGACTATAGAAATAAAAGTAAGGGGAGAGGGGAAGATGTTGTAGGAGGCATTAGAGAGGATACGGAGTGGTGGAAGGAGCACTAGGTTGGGAGTCGAGGCAGGTTCTAATCTGATTTTTTTAGCCCCTTCTTTGTACAATCTTGGAAAGTCATTTGCCATTTCAGAGCTTCAGTTTTCTTAACTTTAACATTTGGAAGTTAGACAGGACAATTTCAGTGGCAACTTTTAGCACTAAAGTTCCAGGATTCCATATTGAACTGATGGTTTGGGAGAGTCATCCCAAGAGAAGTAGTGGTGAAAGCCTAAATCATCCAGGAGGAGAAAGTCAAAGAGAAGATATAAGCTATCATAAAAGACTCTTATCTCTCTTTTCTGGGTATGGCAAACAGGCTATATCTCATCACCATTGGGTTGATGAAGGGAATTGACAGATAAAAATATAAGAAGAAGACAAAGAGAACAGTCACGTGCATTAGGGAGTCCCACATGTGCCCCTCTCTAACACTCAGGCTACACTTTTTCTCCCACAGGAAGTTAATGAAGCTGAGTCCAACCTGACCAAATTTACTTGTGCCTCCCCAGAGAATCTGTCTGTCTCCTGCAATGGTCTGCACAGTTGTGCGACAACCTGGACTGGCCATAGGTTTGGCAGGACGGCAGCACCAGGGAGGGGAGCAGCTGAGCTTGTGAGGGCATGTGTCTGTTTTTATGGTCCTTTCCTCTTGGCCTGAATGACGGCACCATCATCACTCTGGCAGGCCTGGCAGCAGGTGCAGGACCATTGTTTGTGATTCCCAGCTCTGCAACAATAAAAGTAGGGCCAGGGAAATGGCAGCTGCTCAGTTGAGCAAGGCTGTGGTTTGTTTCTAGATGGCTTTGCAGCTGACATCAGACACAGATCATTATTGTTTATGAAGATGCATTCTCCTGTCATTTAGCATTCCACTGCTGAACAAAAAGATTAAAGGACCGAATGAACCCAGTATTTGGTTTGGTACTGTTCTTACCTTTAGTCTAGAACTTCAAGAAAGCACAGTCCAAAGCTGCCTAATTTGTTCTATGCACGGCTGCTTTTAAGCTCTGCTATTAATGAACTAGACTTAACAGCTGCTAAAGAGAATCCAAATGGCCCTCACATTCATTTCATCCCAATGGCAGTAACACCCTACCTTATAATAGTTTTTTCCCACTGTTATTATAGTATTAATATAGACCCTATTACATTTCTCAATTGAGAATTCGTATTTATTCCAGTTTATGAAAAAAAAAGTCATTCTTACCGGATCTCAATAAAAAGTTAGTTATTTCTGCTATTTTTTTTTTTTTTTTTTGAGATGGAATCTCCCTCTGTCACCCAGACTGAAGTGCAGTGGCTTGATCTTGGCTCAATGCAACCTTCGCCTCCTGGGTTCCAGCGATTCTCCTGCCTCAGCCTCCCAGAGTAACTGGGACTACAGGCACGTGCCACCACGCCCTGGTAATTTTTTTTTTTGTATTTTTAGTAGAGATGAGGTTTCACCATGTTGGTCAGGCTGGTCTTGAACTCTTGACCTCAGGTTACCAGCCCCCCTCAGCCTCCCAAAGTGCTGGGATTACAGGTGTGAGCCACCGTGTCCCGCCTTTCTGCTATTCTTAACATCCCTTTTGGAACATTAGTCTTAGGAAGCTGTGGATTTCACAGTCTGGGTTGAAAAGGATGTACTGTACCGTAAATTCCATATGAACAGAAAATCATTTTCTATTTTGTTTATTGATGCCTAGAATTGGATTTGATGCATAGTAGGTGCCCCATAATTATTTGTCAGGTGAATAAAAATGATGGCTCATGATAGTAGCCAGGCCTTCATTGCAATGATTGCAGGTCAGAAACCTGTTAACATCTGTTAACAACTCTTGGCTAAATATTCTAATTAGGACCTCTTGACTCACACAGAAGCAAAGTTCTCTATTAGCAACTATAGCTGTGGTCCAATAAAAGTATGTTTCAAAGGAAACACCCCCAGTAGATCTTAGGACTATTTGATGATAACAATTATGTAGAAAAACTAAGGGAAGCCCAGAGAGTTCATGATAACATTTCCATCTGGGACAATTTTGCTGGTGGCCTTGCAGACACAAGATAGAATGGGGCCTGGCATACTTGTGTATACTTTGTGTTCAATGATAACAATATTTATATATATTCATATATAAAATAACACCCAATGAGTTCTAATGACCATGTGTCCTAATGTTGGTTAGCCACTTACATTCTAAACAGAGCTATATATGAGATACAAGCTATAGATATGGTGATTCATTTTGTCAAAAAATAATTTTTATTGTATTGTTTTGATATTTCCTTAATTTAATATTAGTCTATTGATTTGTTTTATTTCCTCCCAGTACCCAGCAGTTCATATCCAGAAGGAATATTTTTATTCGTGCATCTTTAGCAACTGATTGAAAACAATTTTTCCAACTTCACTTTTGGGTGGATTAATATAGGATGTATATATCAATTTAAAGAACAGCTTAAACTTTACATTAAGTGGCATTTACACAACACAGAAAATATTGAAGTAGATAAAATGCCTTCAATGCCGTAGTTTTTAGTGGTGTATAGGGACACCTAAAATCTTTAGTGGAAGTACAGAGATCTCCAGAAAAGAGATAACTGATATGGGATAAATTAGCATACCAGTCTATGCATAGATATTTCAGGCAGGATAGAGAGGATCATAGTTTTAGTGGCCAAAATATATGTGTTCTTTACTATTGTGGAGAATCAAAGCACAAGGCATTGCAGACTGTAACATTACATAGACAGCAAGGCAACCCAAGAAGGAAACTTGTTGAAAGCTAATATAATTGATAATCACTAAAGAATCAAATGTGACTATTGGAAAAGTATATGGCGAACAAACAGGGTCCTATCAGTACAACCACTCCAGGATGAGGAGGGATAAATATGGAAATGAATAAAGTCAAAGCACTGGGTAGAGCGTTCATGCATCTGAAAGCTAGATCTCGGAGAAAATGTGACATGAAAGCGAACAGATGGGGTAATTGAGGACCAAAAAAAAAAAGAAAATGCTGCAGGGCTTTCTGTGATACTAATATCTTCTGTTTAGCTGAGCAGCACCTGATAAATTAGGGCATAATTTCATCTGTATAAAATGATATAAATCCTTGGAAGGGAGGCATGAGAATTATCTAGTAAATATGAAGATTTCCAAAATAAGGAGTACTTATTTTGCAACAGGTAATATTAGGCAAGTTCTAGGTCATCAAATTGCCCTTTTAAAATATTTTCTTATTTTTTCTCTGTGTGTGAAACTTCTAAGGTTTGACTTAAATGCTACATTTGGTATTTTACCTTTACCTTACTGCTTGAAAAAAATGGGAGGACTCTTAAATTTCGAGGTAATGTACTTCAGTCTAATTAATTACTAATTATATCAGAAAACATTGGAGATCCAGATACATTAAAGAATTTAATGTAAAAATAAATAAACACATATATAAATGAACATATAGCTGAATACTTTTGTGGTTTTGGAATATAAAATTACTTCTTATACTGGGTTGAATAATTTGATATTATTTCTAAAAATTTATGTCTACCTGTACTTGTGAATGCGACGTCATTTGGTCTCTGCAGATTACATCTGCAGAGATTAAGATGAGGTTATATTGGATAGATATGTGTCCTAAATCCAATATGACTGGTGTCCTTATAAGAAGAGGGAAATTTGGACACAGAGTCGCAGATATACAGGGGAGAAGACCGTGTAAAAGTGGAGGCAGAAACTGGAGTGATGCATTTACAAGCCAAGGAATGTCAAGGATGGCCGAGAGCACCAAAAGCTAGGAGAGAAGCATGGAAGAGTTTCTCACAGTCCCCAGAAGGAACCAATCCTACCAAGATCTTGATTTTGGACTTCTAGCTTTAAGAAGCATGAGAGATAAATTTCTGTTATTTTAAGTCACCCAGTTTGTGGTAATATGTTATATCAGCCACAGAAAAATAATACACTTCCTAAATAATAAAAAGAAAAAAGAAAAAAACCCTGTACATACAGGTTAGTTATTTGATTTAATAACAAACTTAAATGTCTGTATGTAAAAAAAAAATAACCAAAATTAAATGACAAAGAACTGAGGGAAATATTTAAGACATTTATGCCAGACACAGGGTTAATACCCTTAGTATATGAAGAGTACATAAATAATAACCAAACACTCATTGGGAAGTTGTGCTAAAGATATAAACAGGCAATTCATGAAAGAAGAAATAAAAATGTTTAATAAATATATAAAAATACATTCCATATTCTTAATAACTAAAAACAAAATAAAATAAACTGCTTTTACTTACCATATTTGCAAATAATAAGAGCAAAACTGTGTGTGACATTGCCTTAAGTACTTTATATACTACTAACTTATTTAACACTTGTAACAATCCTGTGAGGAAATAGGGTTATTGCTAGGTATTATTATCTTCGTTGTATGAATGAGGAACCCGAGGTGGTATATTAATATCATTAATATAAGGTAATATTACCTTCATGTAATAAATGAGGAAATGAGGCCATAAAATAACAAAGGTGTACTGAAATAGCCATTCATATACACTACAGATGGGAGGGTAATTGGGCAAAATGTCTCAGGAGTTTTAAACATCTCATATCTTTTGACACAAGATATTCTCTTTTAGGAATTTGTCCTATAAAAATAAAACTGGAGGGAAACAAAGTGTTAACAGGTGTTATCTCTGTGTAATTAAGATACAGTTTATGCTCTTCTTATATTCTTTATAAGAGTTTTCCCAATTTTTATGTTATGTTTCCTAATTTTTAAGATTTCTAGCATGTAGTCTGTGGATAGTACTCCCTAGAGTTTGGCAGTGCACAACCTGATGGCCCTAATAATTTTTAAAAAGCAGATGAGAATTTCTGTATATAATTGACACTTTCTTCTGTTACTGAGAAATTAGACCTTGAGGATGGGAAGGTTGGTGGTGGTGGGCGGGGGACAGAGGGGCGGTAGAAAGCAGTGGGAGTCTTTACAATATAAGCCTTTGTCTTTCCTTTAAAGGAGTCATACCCATTTAAAAATTATTTGATATTATTTCTATTTATCCTAAGTAAGTATCTGGTAAACATTTTTTCTCACCAGTTTTTAGGTGGAAAAAATGAGGTCTACATTGTTTGGCTTACTTAGAATTCAAAAACTCAGCTTGGAGTCCAATTATGACCTGCTGCCAGCAAGAGTGTGTGCATGGATGGCATACATCATCATATCTGTTTCCAACTTATTTCCCTATATTCTCTTTGATTTTCCCCCAATTTATTTAAATGTATTTTATATTACCAAAATGTATGCATTTTTATAGACCTCCTTAAGTCTTTTCTGTGAAATAAGGTAGAGTATAAATAAAAAGTTAGTTTTTTAAGAACTTGAATCCAGTGCTCATTAGTAAAACTGGGGTGTCAGGGAGATAAACCATGTTTTTTTTTTCTACACACCTACATTTTTAAAACTGGGAATCAAATAAAATATAAACTAGTAAATGAGATATAATGAAAACTAGTATAAGTGACTTCTAGATCAATGTGAAGTGAACATTTTTAGTAAGAGATCACCAAGTACCACTGAAAGGCGAATTGTGTCATATTTCGAGAGCCACTCTGTTGTAAGCCCTCTTAAAATCTGGGTCCCTCGGGTTGTTCCTTTCTTTTAACAGTTACACTTTGGAGACAGGTGATGGTGCGTTCAATCTCCATGGCTAAATGTTTGATTTATTATTGGTTTGGGAATATTTCGTGTATGAAGTCAAAAAGGAACAAATGAAACAATGACATTTGGAGAGCAGTAAAAATCTAGGGGTAAGAGTTCAGAAGAAATTAAATATGCCCTAATAGCTACTAAAGACAAATAAAAATTAAAAAGCACAAATGCACTTAGAAAAGTTCAAAAAGTAGAGTTTCACATGTCTAAGAGGAAATAAATCATTTTATTCACTATGGCCTCCATCAGGTGGCCCAGGGTATTATGTATAATTTTCTGCTTACCAAAAAGAAACATCAATACCTTCACTAAAATCCACAGGGATCCAAAAGAGGGAAACCAAGATGATAAAAGGATAAAAGAAATGAATCTATGAAGAAAGATTAGAGAAAATTAATGTGTGCAACGAAGAGCAAAAGAAGAGAGGGGATTGAGAATTTTTCTCAAATACTTAAGAAAAAGTACTACAAATGAAAAGTTGGAGACTCCGACAGGAATTAGGCAGAGTGGCCGGGAGCGGTGGCTCACGCCTGTAATCCCAGCCCTTTGGGAGGCAGAGGCAGGCGGATCACGAGGTCAGGAGATCAAGACCGTCCTGGCCAACATGGTGAAACCCCGTCTCTACTAAAATACAAAAAATTAGTCGGGTGTGGTGGCACATGCCTGTAGTCCCAGCTACTCAGGAGGCTGAGGCAGGGGAATTGCTTGAACCCAGGAGGCGGAGGTTGCAGTGAGCCTAGATCGCGCCACTATACCCCAACCTCGTGACAGAGCAAGACTCAGTCTCAAAAAATAAAATATAGATAAATAAATAAATAAATATTTTTTTTAAAAAAAGGAATTAGGCACAGTAAGCACCCTGCCTAGGGCCCAATATACTTTTAGGGGCACACAAAAAAGGGCTAAGTTCTTTTAAAAATCAGAAGGAAAAGTGAATGTTATATAATAATGAATATATAAAAATGAATCAAGCCTGAATTATCTTTATACCAACAGATTTGCAAAACATAATTTTTAAGATTTTTTGGAGGCAGAGGCCTACAAGAGTAAATGTGCCTAGTGCCTATGGAAAAGGTGGCCCTAGAACTAACCCTGCAAAGTTTTGAGAAATATTAGGTCAAAGTAATCTCCACAGAAGTTTGCTCAGTGCCAAGCACAGATGATTTCGGGAACTGACAGGGAGACACACTGGGTTGAGACTAGAAGGAAGAAGAGGCTCACCAAAAAAACCAGTAAGACCCTGACCACTCTGCATCTGTGAAAATCCAATGGCACTGTCTTGATGTCTTTCCATGTGTAAAACTCTCACATAATTAATGCTCACAGTAATGCCCTGAGGCAGGATTTCTTATTTCCTTTTTACAGATGAGAAAGTTGGAACTTAGAAAGATTGGGTAACTCACCAATGTTACAGGTTAGAAATGGAGGCATAGTCAGACCTGGATCTGTTACTATGAGCTGCCAGTCCTTTCTCTTGTCAAGTTAACATGCATCACAACACACAACTAGAAAATCAAATGGGCGTCATTTTCACTTACCCCACACCACCCTTACCCAACTCCTCATCACCTCACCAAGGCCCTTCTTAGGTTTCTAAGCCAATGCTCATTCAGTTTTGCAAGTTACTTCTTAAACATACAGTGACATCTTTAATAACTACATTTGCAAATCCAAATTTCTTTGATATTGTAAGAAAAGAGCATTTGTCTTTGAATAGAAGCTCTTTCATTGGCTGAATCTGTTCCTTTAAATAATTTAGATCCCCTTAATATAAACTTATGAGATATAAAACTTTCTAAGGCTTTTTAATCTAAAAACTGGATTTACTCTTAGGGGATGTAGTGGAGAAGTGATGATGAGTAATTAAAGGTCATTCTCAAACAAAAATATGTATTTAGAATCAGGTCTTCTAGATTGACCAAAACATATGTGGCAATGTATACTTTGATATTATAATTGCTTGGAGTTTATTTTAGGAGACAATTCTCCAGAGAGTTGATGGATATCTTTGTGCATTATCCTATTCCTTGGCCTTTCTTACTGTGTAGTTAAAGGATATTAGGATTGCTCAATCAGAAAAATGATAGTATTATTAAAACAAATGGAGAATTTTTTATTCTACAAAATTTCTCCTAGGGAGAACATCATATATTTTTAGGAAAAGACACCATTTGGACAAACTTCTTAGTATGGAAGATGAGATCCCTATGGGTTAATTAATCATCCTACAAAGCTTGTGGGACTTGTCCCTCTAGCCCTATGGCTGAAAGCCCTATATGCCGGGTTTGAGTATACCATGTTGGCATGGAAGATGGGCAGAGTTGAATGGCTCTGCACAAAAGATGGGGGAATGATTTGAAGTTTCCAGGAGAAGATCCAAAAGGAAAGAAGAGTAAAAACTAGCCAGAATGATCAGAAAGAGAGAAGAGTTGCGGGTGTCTGAGAAAGGAGCTTGGGAGATATTTTTTTATATATATAATTTTTATGTTGTTTTCTATGAAGTTTGCAAAGCAAATCTCCTTTTTCTCTCCTCAAGGTCTTCAGTAAAGTCTATCTTAATAATGCTTTTGAGAGGGAAGCTTCTTTTCAAGGAACTGCAAAAGGTGCTGAGGAAAACCCAGAGGCTGCAGACCTGGAGGCAGGAGCTGTAGGGCCAGGAGCAGAAATACCTTGGTCCCATTTAAATTTTACTCCAAAGGCAATACCACATGTTGGGAAAAGCAAAAGCATCCACATCCTGGCCCAGCACTGAATATAGAAGGAAATTAATGTTTCTGACAGGGAAATTATTTAAAAGGTCAGGGAACATTTTTCTCTAAAATTCTAAAAACAAAAAACTAAAATATACTAAAGAGATTCATTTTCCCTAGTGATTTTTAAATCAATATTATAATCATATAAAGCCTGTTGGTATGACTTTATTTTGATATATGTAAGGATTTTAATAATGTTATGATTCAAGTCAACATTGTAGATAAATACTGATTTTTGTCCAGTGATTTTTATTATTACTATAATAATAAAGATGAGATATTATTTTATTATCAATCTTTTGGGAGGACAACATATCAAACACTGATATGACTAGGACAGATGATTATGATAATTCCCCTCTAAGTGACTTAGGTACAAATCCTTGGTGTGGTGCACAAATGTTTTCCACACCTGCTTCTATTATTTAGCAGTGTACTCTCCAAATAAACTATTTCATAAGATTTAAGTTGTTTATTTAGTCCCTTATGTTTTCCTTTGGAACTCAGCAGATTACTCTGAATAGGTCTAAGCTGGCAAAGTAAACAATTAATAGAGACATATAATCTTGGTAATACATGTGTCCAAAACCTCTTCTTTTTCCTCATATAGCTGGTCTTTATGAGAATTACTGTAGGTCTCCACTTTCTTTATTTTACAAAATAGCCAAGAAGATAGTTGAGTTTTAGCATGTAATCCCTGGAGCTCTGTTTGCTTTCCTGAAATGACCTGAAACCACTGGGTTACATCTAATTAATATGTTGTTGGCAGAACACACTAAACAGAAGTTGTCAAAACCAAGTGATTAGAGATTTAGACTCAGGGTTTAATTACATGTGTGGCTTCCCAAGAGTTACTGCAAAGAATATAACTGCTTCAAGTCTGTGAGATCCAAGGTTATTTTTTAAAAGCCTCATTAGTAAATTTTTTAAAAATCATAGAGTATGCTGACAGCAAATATTTTCAAATGCAATTTCTTTTAATCTTGTCAAGTAGTAAATATTTGGTGTTTCATAAATTTGAAACCTCTTCCCATAAAAATGAAAGAGAGCTGTGAGATGAAACATTCTCTCAATAGTTTTGACCTAAAAGTTTTGATAAGAAAAAGCAAACTTTGGGGCCCATATTATTCAAATTGACTGTCTACATTAATAAAGCTCACCGGGTAAGCGGGGCTTTTTTACTTATCCAATGTAAACACACTCATAGCCCAATATCTTTGCAAATTTCACACTATATTTGCCAACCATAAAATCTCTGCAAACATTGGACAGAATCACCTCTTGCTACCTGGTAACGATGTTTATAAATGTATTTATTCAGATAAGATGACAAAGTGCATTTAAAAAATATTTCTCAGAAGAGATTTTAGAAATGTTTTTTAGCAATCTGAAATCTTCATTCCCTGTTCTGCATAGATGCTGCCAATGGCTAGATATGCAAAAATGGGGAAAAGTCTGAGGTAGTTAGTCAAATAATTTTTATTATCATTATTTTGCAGAATGCTTTCATAAGATACATGAATGTAACTGAGGCAAAGTGTGTGTGTGTGTGTGTCTTTTTTAATCATTAACTTTTGGAATACACGTATGACCATACTGTCAATGTGACCTGAGGACTCTGTAAGTTCCTTCCATTTATTTAGGGTTCATTTGAAGCAATTTTGTTCTCCACTCTGTGGTGCTAGCTCCATCTAACTTTTTGTCTGCCTCAGCAGTGGAGCTTATCTGGATTCTGCTCTAAGACAATCCCATGAGATTTTACCAGTGACTAAGGTTCAGTTCTTCCATTTGTCTTATCCTTGGCCTTTACCTACTTGGGGTCTGGAGCTGGGGGTCAATCCTATGTGATTTCTAAGAATTGTTCCTTGACTATGTCCCTGTGAGTGTTGCTCCAACCCAGGCATCTTTCCCAAACAGAGTGGGTGCCTTCCTCTCCTTCCAACATCATGGCCACAAGACTCCAATAGCTTCTACCCTAGAGCTTGGCTCCCTTAAGGTGGTCACTGACTGACGCTTGGTTACTGAATGAGGCAGATCCAGTTTAATATTGTTCCACTGTGGCTAACTAAATGCTGCAGAATGCAATGCCTCCTTTTGAAATTATTAATATCCTTCCCTAATTCAGAAATATGTAATTCAATTCTCTGTTTTTATTGGTGTTGAAACAAACAGAAAACTCCTCAGGGATGTAATTCAAAGGTTTATAATTTGTGAGAAGTATATATTTGGCATCATGGATTTCTGAAGTATAAAAGAGAAGTGCTTGAAATAATGCAGAAGAAAATGAAGAAATCAGTTATAATTCCTCCTTGACTAATGAAGGGATTAATCTTCATACTTTTTCCAGAAACTGACATAAATTCCTCCTTCACTGAATGATTTGTTTTGGTCTAAAGAAAGATATTAATAAACAAAATTTGTATTTTTACAAAAGAGAAGCACAAATGAAAAAAATTGTGGAAGTCAAAACTATTGCTTATGATACATAACAAATATCAGCAACTTTTAGGAAATTTGTAATTTTCAATAAATAGCCATAGTAGATAGTTTTATAATTTTATTAGTCTCTTTTATTAATGTTCATAGTTTGCAGCTAATCTGGTTATATATTCTTTAATCCATAACTCTAAATTTCATGTACATAAGCAATAGTATCAAAAGGCAAAAAATCACACTTAGAAGTAATCAGGCAGTAAATCTACATAATAAAAAAGAATGATTTTGACAATCATTATAAGCTATATCTTCTTTGATTAGAACATATATGTTCACAGTAGACTACTCATGAAATTTATTGCAAAAAGATAATTCCGTTGTATTAGAATAGAAATAGAAAGCAGGAGAAAGGGGGCTAAAAGTGCCTGCACCAGTCAATCAAAATAAGTGCCCAGAGACACTGCAGAATTTTTTCATGCATTTTTTCTCAGTAAACTATTTTAAAGATTATTTACAAACATGAAAGTGTTTTCCTTTTAAATGCCTTAATTTGTGAAAGAGGAATTATGTAAATTATTTTACAACATGAAGTAGTTTCTTTGAATTAGAAACTTTTGGTTGGAAGAAATTGAAAAAAGCATCCAATTACCTATTTGATGCATCAATCCCAACTTTGCCTCTCCTGATCTTTCTGATTCCTTTCTTCTGAATATATTCCAGCTTGTTTTTATCTCAAAATATGGCACCCAGAACTTAATCCAATGCTCCAGGTGCAAATTGGCAAATATAGAGAAGATATGGACTCATCTTCTTCTATTTTATTTCCTCCCTTCTTTCCCATCTTCCTACCATTCTTCCTTTGGCAAATACTCACTGAAAGAGCCTCATCTATGTCCGGCACTGTATTAGAGGCTGGAGATAAAAACGAACAAAAGACAACATGTCCCTACTTCCTTAGAGCTTATTGTTTAGTGGAGGATACTGAGAGGTATCAAGTAATCACACAAATAGATGTAAAATTGCACCCATGACAAGTCCTAATAAAAAGTATACAGTCTTATGAAAACCTGTTATAGGAAGATTTGAACTAATCAGGAGATCAAAATGGCTTCTTTCTTGAGCAGAAGCTGAAGGAAAGGTAGACTTGATAGGTTAAGAAGAGAAAGAAGTGTGTCAGGACATGTGCAGTGGGAGTCACAGGAGAAAACCTGATGAAAGTTTGAGGGATGGAAGGAAGTCCAGTATGAATGGAGCAAAGAACCATGGAGTCTGCAGGAGGTGAGGTGAGCCAGAGAGGTAGAAGGCGCCAGAATGTGCAGGATCGTCAAAATCATGTTTTATCATTAGCCTAACACAACAAATGGAAAAACTATTGAGGAACTTTAAATAGGAAAGAGACAAGTTTTTAATTTTTAAATATTACTATGAAGAGTGGATCAGGATTGAAGAGACACCAGAGCATATGCACACAGATTAGTAAAAAGGCTATTGCAGGAGCTTGGGTAAGAGATAATGGCAGGATCGTTGGTGGAGCCAGCAGGGAGAGAATGCATTTGATAAATATTTAGGAGGGAAATTGATAAGACTTGGTAATGGATCAGCTAAGGTGGGAGAAGAGTGGACAGGGGTGAGGAAGGATTGCTGGACTTTTGGTTTCTGTCTCATGTGACTGGATAGGTGGTGTGCCATTCCCTGAGGTGGGAAACATTGAAGAGGGCCAGATTTGGAAAGAAAAATTCTGAGTGCAGGTTTGTATGAAGAGTCATTGAAAAGTCCATGAGAAAATATCAATTAGGAAGTTGGATTATGTGTGTGGAGTGCAGAAGAACATTTAAGGTAGTGATATAAATTTCCGAGTCTTCTCGCATATAGATGGTAATCCAAATCACATGAAAAAAAAAATGAAAAGAGGAAAGGCCAGAAGACTGAACCAAAAGAAACTCAACAATTAATAGTCCTTTGGAAGAGGACACAAAGAAAGGCAGAGAAAGGAGCAGCTAGCAGGACAGGAGGAAAACCTGGAGGATGCTGGGCCACAGAAGCAAAAGGAATTGAATGTTTCTATTAGGAAAGGGGGCTTGTAGTTAAATATTGCTGAGAAGTCAAGGATAGAAAGCATCTTTCTAGTTGATCCATGTAAATTTACTGCCAACTAAAATCCTTAAACATATTTCAGAAGTAAACAAACAACTTCAAGATCTTAATGGCTTGATAGAATCAAGACTTATTCTTGCTCACATCCCAGTCTGATGAGATTTAAGTTGTTCACTTCAAAGAGGTGACTGAGGAATCACACTGCTTTAAACTTGTGGCTTCACCATCTCACCACTTCACAGTCTCCTGGTATCATCCTGCTGGCAGAAAGGAGGAAGAGAACATGGAGAAAGGCACACCTGATCTTTAACCACCTCATCTCAGAAGTGACACATGTCACTTCCACTCACATTCCACTGTCAGAACCAGTGAATGGCAAACTTAACTGCAAGAGAGCCTGGAAAATATAAAAGAGCAAACACATACCAGCGAGCATTTATAATCTCCATATATCCCTGCTCTGCCTTTGTGTAGTCGAAGTCTGGAGCCCAGGTAAAGGATCTGGAATATACAACCAATAGGTCTCTCAGTGTTAGATTCAGCTGATCCATTTCAGCCTACAAGACCTTTGCTCTGCTTGCTAGCTGAAGTGACAAGCAGATCAAGTGAAAATAGGCTTGGCTGAGTTTGAGATGTCATTCTCACCAGTGCTTACACATGGACCTACCTTTGTAGTCTGGCATAGTGAAGGGTTCTAGCTTCAAGCCAATTATAATTCAAATAATCTAGCTCACTCTTTTTGCTTTTGTCATATATTTCTTGACTTCCTATAAATTGATTCCACACATACAAAATTTATGTCAGTTGAAATAAGAAGACTGCTCCACCTTTATCATTCTCATTATAAATTAATAATATTGGTAATCTGATCTAAACATTACACTTATCAGTAGGATTATACTTAGTCTGTCTTTGGGAGACCTATACTTTCAGACGTGCCAGCCATCTGGTGTTTCTGGACATAAGAGCTGACGATCAGGCCAAGGCCCCTGTAAGGGGCTGTTAAGTGTCCAGCTGACCTCCCCAAAGGCTATCCTTGTTCTTTAACTACAATGCTTTCCAATCATTGTCTCTCTATCAGTCTACTTGACACTGTTGGCAAATGTTTTCTTGAAGTTTGGACATACCATGTCTACTAAATTCCTGTAATCTAAGAGTTTGTGACATATACATTTAGAGCAGCTAAATGCTTCCTTACAACCTTTTTATTCTTCTTTGGCCTCAACTGCCTTTTTCTAATCTGTCTACTCTTTGCTCACATTTCCCAAGAGCCTTGTGGTTAGGCGAGGCCAATTGACTATTTTCATCCAATGAAACATGAGTGGAAGTGAAATGTGAGACTTCTGTGCTAAGGCATTTTTTAAGAATTGATATGCCACTTTCATGTCCTCTCTTCTGCCAAAAAAAAAAAAAATACCTGAGGTACAGACCCACCTTGGACATGTAATGTTATTGTGTCATTTTATTGCCATAGTTTAGCCAAGCCTATCCTGACTGGTAATACTGTTGCTTGGAAAGTTTCTCTCCCAAGGTAACAGTTTTCTCACACTACATAACATAAAAACTTGAAATAGTCTACATTTTTTTTATGAACAATAGTATACAATGTGACAGTTTAGCCAAATGCAGATTCTGGAGTCAGAATGCTGGTATTTGAATCCTGGCAACACCATTTATTAGCTATGTGATGTTGGGCAAGTTAATGACCTTCCTAAAATTTGTAAAACAAGAATGAGAATAGCACCTTTCTCTTAAAGTAGTTGTGAGGATCAAATGAGTTTAAAATGTTTAGAGTGAAGCCTGATACGTATGGTAAGCATTTGGTAAGTGTTTGCTATCATTACTGTGTGTAATAGGACCTTCATGAATATGGCTATGATTAAAGTGTGAAGCATTTTGATAATCTGATATAAGTGAGTGTTTTTGTTGCAAATAACATATATTTTAAAATTGTGTCCATGAATGCTTAATTTTATTTACCCCAAAGAAAAATAGTAGACCTAATCATGAAGCAGGTTATAAATAATTTCAAAGATAGATTCCCTCTTCCAATATGGATAATGAGCAGCTGTTCCACATCTGCCATCCTGTTTGGAGGTATATATGTGTTCAGCGACTGCACACAATAAACAGTTTTCAGTTTTTTCTCTGATTCTTATCTTTGCTAGACAATATTATGGGCAGAGTCTATTGAGCTTGTGCATACATTTCAAATATGTATGATTCCATTGTGACTTTAAAAGTTGACTTGATTTATAATTTAATTTCTATTTTTTTCAAGGGATGCACAGCTAGTAACCAGCATCTTGTCAGTAAGATTTTAATGTTCAATTTTGTATTTCCTTTATGAAATGATTAATGAGAAAATGTATAAAAGTTGGGATTTAATCATCCTGAATATGAATATGTGAATGCCTTTACCTCTAGGGGTGGAGTAGGGTGGCCATGACTTCTGTGAAGGCTTCCATTCTAAGAATGGAGAAGCGTTATTAAAAAATATAAATGTGCAGTTTTTTTTTTTCCCATGGAAAAGGGCTAAGACTTCATGTAATTTAGTTCTCTGAATAGCCAAAAATGGTCTCTGCCAGTTTTTACCATCCAACACTACAAGGCTATTTTTCATAAAGTAAACATTCAGCAACAGTTTTCCCAGATGGGATCACACAGCTATCACTCTGTCCTCTCCACACATGGCAAAGAGCTCCATGAAGAATCGACCTTCACATCCAGTGTGGAAAGCAGGTGGGGCATGAATGTGCAAAACCTCTCCCATAGGCCTAGTGACCAGGATAGTATGTCCTGCAAATGGAAAGCAGTGGCAGGAAAGGGAAAAAGACAATTCAGATAACAATGATGAGCAGCAGAATTTTTGGTTGGTTTTCTCCCAAGATTAGTATTCAGAAACTACCTCATTCCTACATGTCTATCGTGCTTGGAAATGTGAGGATAATACTAGCCAGCTGCTGTCTACAAATCTTGGCTCTTGGATGTCAAAAACCTCTCCAACTTCACTTTTGCAAACTCACCAACTTACCATAAAAAATAACTTTTGCCCTCACTGTGTTTTTCATGTTCAAAAGATTCCCAAAAGTGGATCTACAAAATTATATGCATTTAAAAAATTCATCCTTTTTGCTTTTGCTTTCCTTTTTGTAAAGTGTTGAGCTCATTTTAACAAGTATTTTGTGATATGTATTTTCGGCTCGTTCCAAGCCCCGAAAACTAAAAAATAGTTACTGAAGCCTAGGTTATACTAAACAAATTTTTCTATAAAATTGTCTATCATGAGATTAAACTATTTTGCAAAATTAAGTAATCAAAGATAAGAATCTGCAACATACATTTATTTATGTGCCTGATTCTTTCTTTTATATCTCTGATAGGACTCAAGGATATATGTTGACAGAGTTTGTTCTCCCTAGAGAGAGCTGTACACCAGAATTATCCATAGGCTTAAATGTGTGTGTTGGGACCTGGGGAAAAACAAGATACGTTCATTTAGTACCTTCTATGTATAGTCACTATGGTTTATCTATGTAATCGTATTTAATACCCTCAACTAATTACCAAAATAGCTATAAGTATTCTCCTCTTACAGATGAGGAAATCAACACTTAGAAAGCTGAAGTAACTTCCTGAAGTTTGTGTTCAGTTTGGTGTGAATAAAAGCCTAAAAACTTTTTTACTGCTCCACACTCTAAGCCTTTTACCATTTCATTTTATTCTTTTAGACACTGCAGCTACATGAAGTTACCAGAATATTTATAATACAAGTATAGTACAATAATCTAACTACTTTAATTAGGGTAGAGAGTACTAAAAAGTGCAATGGGTTCATGGGGTATAGGGAGGAATGCCTAAACTCTGCATCAGAGTTTTCCAATCTGAGATGCGATAGTCTGGGAAACAAATTCTAGAATGAGATAGCCTTTGGACAACACTCCTGCTCTGCCATTTACTTCTCAGCTTGCAAATTTAGGCAAAGGACTTTATCAATTTAACTTTCAGTTATATCAGTGCAATAAGCACAATAAAACAAAGTTAAATGAAGTAAAAAGGGTTGATATTCAAAATATATGAAGACTGGGGCAGAACAAGGCACCCAATGATCAGAACCAGCTAAAATCACCAGCATAGTCCTACATATGTGTATAGGAACCACTTTACTCACTGCCCACAGGCGCCCTCCTACTGCTGATAGCAGTGTGTAAAGTCAGAGGTGCAGCTGATACTGAGATAGATTACTTTCTAGGAATGCAGTGATTGCATCCTAAAGCATTTGAGAGGAGACATAGTTGAAAGATACGTTAATCTACTTTGACACTATCAATTTCCAAATGGTAAGTTTAACATAGTCACAAAGTGAATGTCTTCACATTTTCTGGTATAACTTAGGTAAGACTTGCATTTGGGGTGACTCTTGTTCAATTAGACACAGGATGAAGAATCTTCACAGGGCCAAATGAGATCCAGTGATTTGTCGATGAAGATTTAATTATGGTAGAGAAAAGGAACTTACGTATTTGTGCATTCCCCAAGCAGTATAAAAGACTTCATCCTTATTCTGACTGAGTGAGAGTCACCCAAAATAAGCACGTGAGCCTCATTCTTATAACCCAATCTCACATGCTTTTGTGAAAGAATTCTGCGTCAGACAGTGGGAGGGCTCAGTTTATCAGGGTGGACCACTGGAACCAGGCTGGCTACCAGGCCTTGGGATGACTGATATGAGTTTTAGAGCTTCCCAAGGCATCTGGTCAATACCACACAAGGAGTAGAGGTCAGAGAGTACCCTAAAGAAAAGAAACAAGAACCAGGGCCTATATGGTTCTAATTAGGGCTTGGAGTACTCTGTCTGGGTGGCATTGCCAGCCCTGGTTAATCCCAAGCCCCACAGAAGGCCTTATAACTATATTAGCCTTAGCCAGGTATGGTGGCACTTGCCTGTGGTCCCAGCTACTCAGGAGGCTGAGGCAGGAGAATTGCTTGAACCTGGGAGGCAGAGGTTGCAGTGAGCCAAGATCACGCCACTGCACTTCAGCCTGGGAGACAGAGCAAGACTCCATCTCAAGAAAAGAAAAAAAGAAAAGAAAAGAAATTATGTTAGACAGGGTTTTCTAGAGAAACAGAACCAATAGGATAGATAGATAGATAGATAGATAGATAGATAGATAGATAGATAGATAGAAAGATAGATAGATAGATAGATAGATAGATAGATAGATAGAATAAGATAATATAATATGGCAATTGGCTCACCTGATTATTGAGGCCAAGAAGTTCCATGATGTGCCATCTGCAAGCCAAAGAACCAGGAAAGCATGATTTTGCCTTTGTTCAAGGGCCTGATAACCAGAGGAACCAATGGTATAACTCTCAGTTTGAAGTTAAAGGCCTGAGAACTGGGGGAGTGCTGATGTCCAAAAGCAGAAGAAGATGGATATCTCAGCTCCAGAAGAGAGAATTAATTTGCTATTCCTCAACCATTTTGTTCTACCTGGGCCCTCAATGGATTGGATGATGCCTGCCCACATTGGTGAGGGTGGATTTTCTTTACTCAGTCTGCTGATTCAAATGCTAATGTCTTCCAGAAACACCCTCATAGACATACCCAGAAATTAGGTTTTACTGGGCATCCCCTAACCCAGTCAAGTTGACACATAAAAAGTAACCACCACAGAAATTGTTAAAGTAGGCATTCCCAAAGTACAAGACCCCTTGAGTTTGGGGCTTTGTGTAAGAGCCTCATGTGCCTGGATCTAAGAGCACATATAAATGGTGTGCCTAAAAATTAACAAAAAAAACCCCAGTATACTTATTGCAGCACTATCATAATAACAAAGATGTGGAATCAGCCTAAGTGTCAATCACTAAATGATTGGATAAAGAAAAGGTAGTATCTATACACAATGGAATACTATTTAGCCATAAAAAAGAACTATATCATGTCTTTTGCAGCAATGTGGCTGAAACTGGAGGCCATTATCTTAAGTGAAACAATTCAGAAACAGAAAGCCAAATGCTACATATTCTCACTTGTAAGTGGGAGCGAAATAAGGTGTACACGTAAACATAGAGTGTGGAATAATAGACATTGGAGAACTAGAAGGGTGGAAGAGAGGATAGTGATGAGTCATTACTTACTGGATACAGTGTATGTTATTTGGGTGATGGATACACTAAAAGCCAAGACTTCACCAATATATGCATGTAACAATTGCATTCATATCCCTTAAATTTATACAAAACAACAAAAAAGTAAGAACTAAGTGCATTTGGCTATTATTATCATCACCATCATGATCCTATCAATATTGTATTTTCCATTGGAAATGTGTTTCAACAATAAAAGAAGTGAGATGCTAAAGCAAAAAGTATTAAAAAACAGTTCAGAGTTTGAATTAAAGATGATGGGTTGAACCTATTAATTTGTCTCCATTCCTTCTCACTAAAACAAATGCAAGAGGATTTTTAAAAAATCATAACTCAACAGGATTAATAGAACTGGTGAGGAGCCAACAAAAACAAAATACTGGAAGCTATAATGCAGATGGATGAATGGTTAATCACTTAGGAGACTTAAAAAAAAATGGAATCCCAAGTCAAGGAGTGGGAAACTCTGAGAAGCAATCCAATTTCTACTGTCCTTAGGAATTAGGGGCAACTACTTCTGGAACTAGGATGGACTGAAAACACAAGGACTGGTTGGATATTAGACTCCCAGACCTCCTCCCGACTCCAGAAACATCACTGTTCAACATTTCAATCAACTTGCTCTCCACTCCCAACAGAAAACTGAGTTATTTCTGGAGAGCTGGTCTTTGGACTAGAGAACACGTGGCATCATGAAGTAAAAGTATACAACTAAACAATGAAACACAGTCCCCACTACTAGCACTACCACTAACTCAGCTTTTGTGTCCCATTTAATTCTCAGAATTCTGAGCTTTCCAGGCAGGGTTTTGGAAGAATATTTTCTGGGGGATGTAACCAGACTGAGAGAAATCCCCTAAAGGCATGACTGGCAGAGTTTTCTAGGTGTCTCCCAATATCTAATTTTCCCTTCTTCCATAATAATATAATTTTTTATTAAGCATATGGCTATATGCATATTGTAAAAAAAAATGGACAAATTTCCCAACCTCCCTTGCCATGAGATGTGGCCAATATTTCTAGCCAATGGGATGTAAGCAAATGCTGTATGTATAACTTCAAAAGGTGGGATATATATATCCTTCCTTCCTTCTTCTTATTAGCTAGAATGTAGACATGATGCCAAGGCTTCTTGGAACACAGAATGCACAGAAACATCCTAGAGACTGTGGAGCAGCAAGACAGAAGATGTCTGAATCCTGGACACTCTATAGCACTCTACTAACCCAGATTTACATTGAATGGAAATAAGTGTCTTTCTTGTTTAAGCTTCTCTTCTTTCAATTCTCTGTTACCCAAAACTGAACACACATTTTAACCAGTACAATAATGTAAGATGTCTCCCACATGAAACAGCATAGCCTAATAACTGTACAAAGAGGCATATAGTTGAAGAACTCTGGCCAAGCACATGGAATTAACAAACAGCTTTTCAGCACCTCACTCTTAAAGTTAAGAAGTCAACCAAGAATTACCAAAAATCTGAGGGATTCTTGAACTATCATAAGGACAGAGACCACACCAACTGTAATGATAACAACAGAAAAGAGTATCTTTTATAAAAGAGATAACAGCAAGAAAGCAACTTGGAGAAAATAGAAACTATGCAAGAAAAAAAATCCAAGAATTATTAAATCTTTAAATAAATAAGATAAAATATTGAGTCTGTGAAACAAGATAAAGACACCATAAAAATAGAACTGAGAAAATTATTGGTTTTAAAAAGCTATATAAATTTTTGTGGAGGAGGGTTGTTCATTTTTTTCCTTTTTTAAAAAACAAAAACAAACAAGCAAACAAAAATGATTTTAGTCTGGGCATGGTGGATCACGCCTGTAATCCCAGCACTTTGGGAGGCCGAGGCGGGTGGAGCACGAGGTCAGGAGTTCGAGACCAGTCTGGCCAACATGGTGAAACCCTGTCTATACTAAAAATACAAAAATTAGCTGGGCATGGTGGCGGGTACGTGTAATCCCAGCTACTCAGAAGGTTGAGGTAGGAGAATTGTTTGAACCTGGCAGGCGGAGATTGCAGTGAGCTGACATCGCACCGTTGCACTCCAGCCTGAACAACAAGAGCAAAACTCCATCTCAATATATATATATATATATATATAAATTTTGTGAGTTGTTAAAGGTTAAAAATATGCTTACAGAAATGAAAAATTCAGAGAGGATTAGAGAATAAAATTGAAAAATATCTTCCATAAAGTAGAGAAAAACACAAATTAATGATAAATAAGAGAAAAATATTTTTAAAAATAATTAATTCAAGAATTCCAACATCCAAATAATAGGGATTATAAAAACAGAGAACAGACAAAACTAAGGGTGGAAAGTCTTCAAATAAATAATTTCTTAAAATTTCCCAGAATTGAAGTACGTAAGTTGCCGATTCAAGCCCATTTTGTACTCAATGCAATAAATCAAAATAGACTCATATCAATCCATATCACTGAGAAATTTCAGAACACTAGAGAAGAAAACAGACCCTAAGAATGTACACTGAAGGGAAAAAAAAGATAACACAAAGTTCAGGAGTCAGAAATTCACCAGACTTCTCAACAATAGCAATGAACGCTTGAAGTAATGAAGTCCTATCTCCAAAATTCTGATGCAAAATTATTTCCAATATAAAATTCTACACAAAGTAAAATGATTTATCCCGTGTGAGAGTAGAATGAAAATGTTTTATGTCATTTACTAAATAAAAACTTAATTTCCCACATGCTCAGGAAGTTAACAAAAAGTGTCTTTTACCCAGGAAAATACACCAAGAAAGAGAAAGACCTAGATCCAGAAAAAGAGAGTCAACTCAAAAGTTGTGAAAATAAACCTTAGGGTCGTGGTTGTCTTAGGTCAAGTATCCTAGAAGCAGAGACTGAATTAGGAATTCATGTGCTTGTTATTTACAGAGGGATCACTTTCAGCAGAGAGAGAGAGAGAGACAGTGGGGAGCAGAATAGGAAAGGGGAAGGAAGCAAGCAAAGATGTCAACTCAGCTGGAGGGTATCTCAGCCTGGTCCCACAGGGAGCTTTGGGGCATAAATTGCACCACAGAGATGGTACCACCTAGAGGCAAGGAGACCCAACTTTTGTATTTTTGTGTCAATCCACCATTGACTGTGGAGAGGTCCCAGTGAGAAAGGTGTAACCTTCTGGTTGAGGTTACTCTCATTGGGCTGAAAGTCATTCCTGAAGAAGAGGGCATCTTTGAGGCATTAGCGTTCACATCAGTGGGAGGGCATGTGCCCCAACCCTATAAGGGGATCTGGGCAGGGTACCAAGAGAGGACACTTCAACAGTGAGAAACCAGAGTACAAGTGTGCAACAGGCATTGAGGGCAAAAAAAAAAAAGATATTCAGACAGAGCAGGTCTGAAGACTCTGGAAAAGGTATTTCAGGAAAATAAAACTGCAGGAATGCTTAATGTGTTTGAACATATTAAGAAGAGATCCATATGACTGAGAGAGAGTTTGTGTATAAATTAGTGACAGGTACATAGAGAACTTTGCAAACATAAAACAATAAAATAATTCCAGGGAAAATAAAAAGTTGTACTGAAAGAGAAATTAATCAAAGGATACTATATGGTTCAACCATGAATAGCATTTTAAGTGGTCATGATATTGAGCAACTGAATACTAATCTAATCAAACGTATTAAAAAAAAAAACTCTACTAGGAGGATAGGGCATTGGAAGTGGGGGCAGTAGAGTGAAACAGTCCTATAGGATTGCCCACTAGTGAGCCAGCACTTCTCTTCTCTGGTTGCCTGGCAACAAGTCAATGGGACCAGCGCTCCTCTCCCTACAGGGTCTATCAGAACTGGTTTGCCACTCCCCTAGGCAGCTGGTATCAAGCTGCAAGGTGTTGGTCTCCACTGGCAACACCACTTTTATGTATGTAAAAGCCCTATTGTCACATTGCCTGCCTTCCCCAACCCCATATGCAAAGAAAGCAACAGAGACTACAGAGGCATTCCTCTCCTAGAGTACAAACCTGGCCCAAGTACACCTCTCTATGTGATGCCGAGGGTCTGCAGGCTGGGGTCTCCATGTATTCTGCCCGTTCTTTTGCCTGTGAGTTCTAGCCTGCACTGCTTGAGGCTTGTGACACTGTCTGAGCCCTTCTCCAAATACTTTCATTGTCGGAAGTCAATATATAGTGCCTAAAACAAAAAAAAAGGGAGTGTAAGCAATTGTTTAAGGCTACTTAGAGGCATTGAAATAAATGACAACAGAATCAATCAGTGCCTTGGGGAAGAAGGAAATGAGAAACTGGGGTGAAGGATTGCTATTTTTCATAACACATATTGTAGAACTATTGTGTATACAAAACCTTCATAAAGATAGAAACATGTTTTCAAAGAGGTTAAGCAAGTTGCTTTACTGTCGTACTTCTCAAATATTTAGTTAAGTAGAAAAATTCTAATGGTGGAATAGTGTAATCAGCATTCCCCAATCTTATTTGATTCTAGAATCTTTAAAAAATTTATTTCTTAAAACAATTACTTATTAATATCCACAAAGGCAGAAATGTTGCCATTTGGTAAATCATCCCTGTATACTAAAGTACACAACTTTATAGAAAGCAGAAAATACCAAGGTCTATAGGAAGACATCATCTAGCACTTGCTGTGTGCCCACCTGCTCTTGTCCTGGGCATTGTGCTAGAGGTCATAGTGTGTGCTTGCTCATTTAATCAGCTTCTGATCATATCTGATGCTTTAATTTTGAGTCAGCCTCACAGCTCACTCATTCAAGAGAAATTCAGTGAGTGCCTACTATGTGTCAGGCACTTCTAGGGGAAATTACACAAAATACATGTGGTCCCTGACCTCACCAGAGAGATTCCACAGTACTGAAGAAGAAAAGGAGAATGGATACATACATATTCAGACAATCCATCACCGTGGATCATTTTGCATTTCATTTACGCAATCCATTTTTGTAGGCTCTAAAGTAACTTTTACATTGCTTTCAGCTGCTGCATGATTTGCTATATGCCAGCCCAGCCCAGGTAGGTTAGAGCCAAACACTATTCCCTTAATTCAAGATGCATGTCCATTTGCATCCTACATTCAGGGCTTCAAGGGTAGAGGGCTTCTACAACTTAAGCTGTAGTCTCCTTCTTTAGTTCTCTGAAGTATAGAAACCACTGCTATACAGTAACGTGACTGAGTTGATTGTACCATGAAAGCTCTCAAAAGTAACAGTGAGATATCTTCAGGACATTTCAGCTTCAGCTTTTCCCAGTGATGGCCCTGAGTCCTGCTTTCCTTAGACTTTGGTAATAGATTAAGACATAAACTCAGATTTTACTGAACTCCTGAAATGTACTGAAAGGCAAGGACTCAAATTATAAAAACATCAAAATTCCTTTTTCTTTGTTAGATAAAGTTTGCTCAATTATTTTACCTACAAAAGTCATATTTGTTTATTTAAGCACATTTTTAAAAATTTTGGAAATACAGTTAAAATAATCAGCTATAGTCCCTCATCTAAAAATATCCATTTTTATGCATTTTCTTGCAAGATTAAAAAAAAGCCATTTCCATATAGATACTTGTCTTAATTTCTAACAAATTAAGAGAACAATGGCCATGTGGGAAGCCACTGGTGGAAAAGCTGCAGGTACACACTGGGTCAGTTTTCCAGGCCATGACTTACAGTGCACTTGATTTCCAGGGAGCAATGCATGCCTCACCACTGTGTTGTTAGAGGCTATGGACCACTTTATGACTGTGAGCATCTTCCTTTTGGATATAAGTACTAGAGAGAAACAAATCATTAGAGAGAGAGAGAAGTGAGTTTTGATTGTTAAAACACACGAAAGACATAGACTGCTGGAACTGTGCTTTGCTGCATAAAGAGCTGCTCTATCCCAAGAGTTAATAGAGTGCAGGGGCAGAGGCACGCCTAGGACATCAGCTGTCTGTCAGGTGGGGGAAGGGTGCAGAGCTATATGGATTCCTCAGCTGGAGGTCACTAGGCGCCCTTCATATGCTACAGGAGAAGAACGTTTAGCAATTGAAAACAGCTATGCTGGAAAACATGCCTTTCAATATAGTTCTTTGGCTTTTCTCCTTTGTTTAACGCTTCTAACATGTCATTTAATGTATTGATTTTCTTATTCAAAGTACATGTTAAGCATGTTCATCACAATCTGTGTTCATTTCTTCTTGGCTAAAATAACTCACCATATTTTTAAAATAATAAATGAAGGTGATGTTTTGGGTTTTTTTTTTCACTTTTCACATTTGAAATATTATAAATGGCTTGTGCCTTTTTCTAGGTTACATTTTAAAATAATCACAGATAGCCAGGGTTGGGAATAAAATTATTATTCTCGGAACTGCTTTACCATTTTAAAAATATCAGCACCAACTTTAATTCGACTACTTGCTAAACAATTATAGTTTATACTATCATTATAGCTCTAGTTATAATATCATTCAGTTAAATCTTAGTCCTCCAACAGGCATCACTATACCTATACTTCATATAAAGGTGGTAAGAAAGCCAAGACTGAGAAAGGACAAATAATTTTACCTTGATTGCCATAGAAGGATACTTAGGAAAGTCTCTTTTGGGATACTATGCAGGGGGCCCTAAAACAAATGTCTCTTTGTTATAAAACTTATTTATTTGGTCATTGAACTCCGCCTTAAATTAGATGAAGCCAGCAGGCCTTAAATATAATCCAGCTAATGTAACTGGATTACAATGCAGCAATTTGAAATAGTCATTAATGCCATGCTTAAAATATGAGTGGCTTCCATCAACATAATATAAAAGGATTACCTCTTCCTCAGTGGTCCAGTTCCAGAACACATGGCCGTATTTCCTACACCAATTTGACACCATAAACAAAAAAGACCCAAAGGCCATGTCTCCAGTGAAGCTCAAGACAACAGGACAAACACTGGGACAGTGCTGCTATTACCGCATATACCAAGAGCTGCTGGCAAAAGTGATGTTCTTCTACTATCCTGATGAGGCAACAGTTTCCACAGGGACCCACAGGTTGCTGGAACAATGCTGACACCTCTTTTCTAAGGGAAGTGGATTGAGTCCTTCTTAGGTAGAATTGCCAGTTAAAATACAGGACACCCAAATATTTCATACGACATTCTTATACTAAAAAATTATTCATTCTTTATCTAAAATTCAAATGTAAATGGGTGTCCTATATTTTTCTTTGCTAAATATGGCAATCTTATTCCTGTGGTAGGGATAAATTACTTCCCTTTTGGGGTAGAAATCCTCCATTTTTCTCTTTGCTTAATTTAGGGAAAATAGGAAGGGATATAAAAATTTTGCTTACAAGTCTGTGTTCTCCTCGTGAAGACCCACTTATTTAGAGGAAAAATAACTTAGAAAAATAGAGTTTAGTCAAACTGGTCCGGAAGTCTAAGAACTCAAAGTGATTGCATAGTCTGAAGTCTGAGAGTTACATATTCCCAGCATCTACTCTTATCCATAAAATCTAATAATAAATAAATCAGCATAATTGGTCATGCAAATGGGAATTAGAAAGGTTCCATGTTTGCCTTGATTTTACTATTGGAAAATAACTTCTCCACGCTTCCATTTTATCTTCAGGGATTTGAATAAGGGAAGATGGATAACAGTCTAAGATGGAGTTGGGTTTTAAAAAAATCAGACCATTGTGGGGCACCTCAAAAGTGGGTAGTCTTTAACTAAATATGTAATATTATTCATATTGTAAATGTTCTTTAAAAAAAGCATTACCTTTTTAGGGTCAGGCATATTTATAAATAGGTATAAACGTTAGTTTTTACATAATCTGAATTGAAGAATGCTGGGAAACTCCTCTTATGTCAAATTATTTCCTCTCCCTAAATGCTACAGTGCTTAAAAGATCAGCATCCAATATTCATTTTATCAGTTTCTTTAAATCTCCAGGAAGGTATTATTACAGCACTAATACTTTTAAGTAAATGATTTTATAGGGATACTGGAGTTCAGACAGCAGAAACATAATTAATCTTAATTCAGGTCACCAGATAGTGCAAAAAAGGACAAGAAGGTAGTGGTGGGAGGTGAGGATCATACCCAAGAGAAATAACAGTTGCCCCATAAATGTGCCTGCAGTGGTCCTTACTCATGCTCTTTATTCCACTCCCAAATGTGTCACACTTTTAGTTGAAGAGACAGTCATTTTTGTTTAACCATTCCCATTTTCTCCTGCTCTCTGAGTACAATCCATTCACTCTTGGCCCTACTCTTGTCCAGTGTAGGCTGCCAAACTGGCTCAATTCAGATAACATAGGAGGGTTCAGAGGAGCTTTCCCTATTCACCACTAACTTGCTGTGTGACTCCAGGCAAATTGCTTAACATCTCTGGACCTTGGTTTCAGCATCATACAATGTTGAAGTGTCATTAGATGGTCTGTCAGTCTTACCAAGAAAGGAAAGAGAAAAACTTACATCACTGAAATCTTGTAATTGGTTCAGCAGGGGAAATATATTATCCCACCCACCATTGCTTGACCCCTTACTAGCCATATGTTCTGGGGAAATTTACTTCATCTCTCTTTGCCTTTGTTTTTGTTTTATCTGCAAGCAGGGAAAAATAATGCCTACTAGACTATGATGTCATGATAATAAAAGGAGTTAAATCAGTTGACATGTAAAAGATGCTTAATGCATTTTATCTATTATCATAACTAATAATAGCTATTACTTTCTCCAAGAATTATTTTTCTTTCAAAGAAAAAAATTAGTTATGTCAACAACCCTGAGATAGTGTTGGCTCTAGAGTGAGTTAGTTATAACTGGCATTTCAAGAAGATGTAATTATCTTTGTTTCCAATTAATACTTTTCTTTTTTTTTTTTTTTTTTGAGACAGAGTCTCGATCAGTCGCCCAGGCTGGAGTGCAGTGGCGCGATCTCTGCTCACTGCAAGCTCCGCCTCCCGGGTTCACGCCATTCTCCTGCCTCAGCCTCCCGAGTAACTGGGACTACAGGCGCCAGCCACCACGCCCGGCTAATTTTTTGTATTTTTAGTAGAGACGGGGTTTCACCGTGTTAGCCAGGATGGTCTCGATCTCCTGACCTCGTGATCCACCTGCCTCGGCCTCCCAAAGTGCTGGGATTACAGGCGTGAGCCACTGCACCCGGCCCCGATTAATACTTTTCAATAAGAACTTTGTTTTTAGGAAGAATTTTTAAAAAGTAAAAATTCATATTATCATAACCAACTGCTCAGAACAAAGACTTTTTTTACATATAAGGAATTCAACAAACCAGAAAAAATAATCTTGATTTCTGCTCCCAAGTAATCCCCATATTTTAATACCTAGGTATAACACAGTCATACTATTGAGCAAAATACAAAGGAAAATCACACATTTAATTTTGAAATGACAAATTAAAGTTGTTACCTTCCTAGACCGACATAATAAAAACACATCATTACTTAATGGAGTAGACTGTAGATAGATTGTAAATATCTGAGACTTAAACAAAGATTTCAACCATATTTCATTCTTTTCTTCTTTCAATTTAAGAAGTCTACTGTCTGCTGAGGAGTACTTTTCTCTCTCTGGTTGCATTTATTTCCACCACCACATTCCTGGTGCTGCTCCTGAATTTATCACTTACCCAAACAATTTTTGTTAACCTAAGTTTCACCAGTAGTATATTAAAACATTAAATATTTTTCTTAACAGAGAATGAAGAAATCATTTATGGTACAAAATGCTTTGTGTTGTCATGAATTTTCATTTGTCTGGCATCTATCTGATTGTTGCAACTGCACTATTTCATGTTATCATCTTTTTTCTTTTCTTTTTGGAATGTAGAAAATGTTAGCCCTGGAAGTGGTTAATGTGACGAAAAGCACATTAGAATAAAAAAAAAAATCCACCTCAATCCAAAGGGATGGCATTAAGTGGAATCCAGTGTATCATGGAGCACCTAATGCACACAAGATGTGGAGCATGTCCCCTGGTCGGAACTTTTAAATACTAAGTAGCAGTGAATGGGAGAAATAAATCAAATGGGAGGATAGCTGGAATAATAAACAGTGAAGATGCTTCATACTCACACTCCAGCAAAGCAAGATGAAAAAGTGATCATGGCTGTCGTGAGCTATTACTGAATGAAGAACTTCGTTTTAGCTCTTCTAACTTGAAAAATGGAAAAAAAGAAAGAAAGAAATGAAAAGAAAAAGAAAGAATGCTGGAGGCAAATAGCTTTTTTTTCCTTGAGTCTCTCAAACTCATTGTCAGTAAAACAAACTGCTATGTATCATCTGTTTAGTGACAGAAAATATATATATTGAGATCAAAGATAATCAAGGTACACCTGGTTATTATTTGTAAAGACTTAACTGTAAGTTTTTAATGATTAATTTATCTGCCACATAACGCTTTAATAGATCATGTGAAACATCAAGGGAGGAATGTGGTACTGCATTTCTAAAGCCTCCTTCTCTGTCTCTGAATGATAATAGGCATGGGAGTCATCATTAGTCTTGTTAGACGATGGTTCCTTTAGGAATCTCTACGTGTTACCTTTTAGAGGGAAGGTCAAAGAAGCCACCCCTGGGGACTCCCCTGCAGGATACAACTAACACAAGCATAAACTGTATGGAAATGGCTAAATTGTCTTTACTGAGACCTTAGTCTTTCGCATCAATCAAGTCCTTCTGAACTAGTAAAACAGATAAGCACCCTGCTGGCAAAAGTGTTACTATCCTTATGCTTGTCATGACTGGCACTACAAATTTAACAATAAACAGGCAGTTATTTGTCTTCCTTCTTTAAAAAAACAAAATAAGTGTGCCGAAAGACATACAGTTGCAAGGAAAACTCATTTTAATGGCGAACAGAAAGACGAAAAAATTGCTAAGTGGATTCAGTGTCACTCTCTTTCAGTCCTTCCTCAAAAGACCCTGTATCCAGGATCCAATTGTAACTGCTATCATGCACATGGAGAAGGTAATATGAATCTGACAAGCCAAAACAAAGCAAACCGGGACCCCATGGCTGCCATGTGGGAGGGGGCAGATTTATCCACCCTCACGTCTCAGCTTCCTGAGTGTGGAGCCTGTGTCAATGCCTCATCCTGACACCTAACTCATGGGGGAATTATAAGTCATCAATACCAATGACTGTAAAACACTTTGTAAATAAAAATGGCTTAGAAGTTCCAATTAACAACAGAAAGTAACCCTCTGGGATGTACTAGAGAGAAATAACTACAGCCATAAATAAGCAATGGTGAATTTAGGTTCACTTCTTATTTCAATGCCATTAAAAATGGATCTCCTTCCAATCTCCAATCTGAAGACTCAGCCATGATATTTTTTCTCATTTACACTATACAAAGTCATGCGCATGAGTGGAAGCATTGAGGAAATACAGGATTGGGCATTCCCTACTATTTTAATATGAGTATTACAAGCATACATACTCTTATCTACCTTCATGTCAAACAGAAACAAAAACAACAACAAAACAACCAGAAGTAGTATAACTTAACTTAGCTAACTGTATGGCCACCACAGATGTGCGGTAAACAGGGAGCATAGCAGGCCCAAGAAGTGGCTATAGTGCACACCCTTAGTGTACTTCATGCTTGCCCCATTTAGAACCTTCACAGGCTCACACGATGGATTATCAATCTGACTCAGGAAGTATCCACTGAGCCTGTAGCACAATGTCCCAGGCACTGTGCTAATCACTGCCAATATATCTCACTTATACCTGTGAGGAAAAGAGGCTTGGGAAGCAATTTGATATGACCAAATTATAATTAAATTAATAGCCATATAATACTTACTAAATGTCATGAATTATTCTAAATGCATTATAGAAAAATCAACCCATTATTACTCAGAATAGCCCTATGAAGCAAGTACTACTGTTATCCACATTTTAAGATAAAGAAACCCAGAGAGATTGAATAACTTGCCCAAGGTCACAGAGAACTGAGACTTGAACCTGGGCAGTTGGACTCCAGAGTCCATGCTTTCAACCACTTCTCAACCTGGAAAAAGAGCCCAAGTTTTTGGTTCCACACTTAGTGTCTAGGGTCTCTGCTTGATTTTAAAAATTAAAAAATAAATAAATCTGGTAAGACACAGCAGCTTATCCTTCAGGTCCTCATGTGCCTGTGCAATGACAGACAGGCAAACAACTATAGGGTGATAGAAGTCACAGGAATGTGCAGAATAGTCAGGAAATGTAAATAAGGGAGCATTTAGCTCAGACTGGGGCCTTCAAAGAAATCTTAGAAGAAGATAATGAATTGTGGTTTCCATTTCCTTAGAAAATCTAGTTATATGTGCCTCTATTTTTTGGCAGGCATTCTTGCAACCTTTGGCCTAAGTATGCACAGCATGTCCATAGGAATAATTTCAAATATAATATGAAAAAAAAATTAGCACCACCCTTAGCTTCTATTAAGTCTATTGTAAGATCAGGGTCCATAGTAGCAAAACTCATGCTGCCATAGCTTGACCAGAAACCAGGGGACAGTTCAGGGTACTCAGCTGCCCCTCTGAAAAGATGTTAGCCATGAGGCATCTATAGAGCATCTTTAGCTGCCTAGTGAGTTTGGCTGACTCTCCAATCACCACAGAGGTCCCGATGGGCAGAGGTTCTGACTATCCTGCCCAGAAGAAGCATGAGGGGGAGAGCAGCAGTTGTTCTACCCAGCAGGGACTATCTCTACAGCAAACATCACCTCCAAATCAGAGCTCCCAACCTTGCAGAAAGACCCCCACTTACAGGAAGACAACTCAGTGGGGAGAAGGTGTTTGGGGAAGATGAATTGTGGGAGGAGGAAGGGAGAAGGGATTGGCCGACGCAGGCAGCGTCCTCAGCTTCTGTTTGGCCCTTGATTTCTCTCTGTAGAGGAGATTGACCTCCAGGAAAAACAGACCTCCCTTCCCCCTCCACCCCTTCAGCATAGCAGTGATGCCTGCACAGGTCCTGTCCCGGCCATACACCTACCAAGAATACACCAAAGCCATTAAACATACCGATCTTTAGTGACTAAAAGGCTGCCATCTTTTTAGCCTTTTAAAATATATGGCACATGTATACAATGAAAAGCAATGATGTTATAGATTTATTGACATGGAAATATGTTCACTATGTATGGAGTGAAAATAAATAGGTTATGAGAAATAAATACCAAATCCAGTTTTGTAAATGGTTATATACATATAAAAAGGCTAGAAAAATATGCATCAGGATATTTACAATGAAGGGATTATTACAAGTATTTTTTCTTCCTTGTGCTATCTGTCTTCTTTATGAAGACTATGTATTATTTATTTGTTTATTTACTTTTTTGAAAGAGCTATTTTAGTTTTTCCTTGGGAAGAGGGAGATTTTTATTTCTTATTTTTTATTTTTTGGAGATGTAGTCTCACTCTGCCTCCCAGGATGAAGTGCAGTTTCTGAACACAGCTCACTATAACCCTGACCTCCTGGGCTCAAGCAACGCTCCCATCTCTGCTTCCCAAGTAAAAGGGACCATAGGTGCACACTGGGACCATAGGTGTGTGCCACCATGCCTGGCTGATTTTCTTTCTTTTTTTTTTTTTGTAGGGACAGGGTCTCATGTTGACTAGGCTGGTCTCAAACTCCTGGCCTCAAGCAATCCTCCCACCTTGGCCTCTGAAAGTGATGGGATTTCAGGTGTGAGCCACTGCGCCCAGCCAGGAAGTAGGAGATTCTTAAATAGGTGATAATAGTATCAGTTATTATCGGTGTTAGTGGTTTGATTTCATTGAAATAGCTCAGGCTAAGGAACAATACTTTAATGGCAGGGAGAGAAGTATGTTGATGAACTGGATTTGTCAGCTCTTTCCTGATGACTAAAATCAAATGTGAAGTGGTTATTGCCATTTAGCATATCCCCAGAATTCAGACTTTATGATTTCCCTGTCACTCACCAAATCAAAATCAGAGTATCCCAAAGTAGATATGTTAGAAGAAGAAAACCAAAAGATTGAATAACTCAATCAATTTGGGAAATGTTGAGCTAACTGGTGTTAAATAGTCATCTTTCTTGCAGGATTTCTGAGAGCCTCATTATGCTAATGTACATTGTATATTTCCCACAAAATAACAGTCTTCCCAACTTTATATTTATCCATGGAATTCATTTTTGCCAAAGCATCACATGTGACCAGTGACAAGTGAATGCTGCATTGCTTGGCAACACCGTTCTAAGTAGTAATCTAGAAACACCTGTAAACACATATACTAACTCCCTCAGGAGAATTTTTAAATGGTTTCACAAATATAAATCTATTATTTTCATCAATGATGCGCTAATTTCAGAAACTATGAGATTAGTCATGATATTAAGTCAGTTCCACCAGGTTGCTTCACCAGAAGCACCGAAGAGTTTCATATCAGTGAATAAATGTCTGAATTCAAAATCTGTGACATCACTTTCAAGTAAAGGGGACCAGTCTGTAGACAAAACAGAATGTACACCTGTCACTGCCATTCTTTTGAGTCATTACAGTTTATAAATTTATACACCATGAAAAGCTTTATTTATGTTCATACGGTGTGAAAATTGCAAGAAAAACTTTAAATTAATTACCTTTTTTTAAAGAAAGCAATTGAAATTTATCACAGACAGTAAGGGAATTTATTTACATGCCATAAAGCTTCTTAAAATACAGTCATGAAATATGAGTTAGGAAAAGTAGCTCATGCCCTCACATGTCCTCAAGACGGAAAAGCAAATTAGCTGGCCTTAACTGCAAACCACAGTCTTGTGGCTTTGGTCTCTCTCCTCAGCTTAGCTTTTGCAGGATCTCAAAGGCAGACTTGACTCAACAATATGATCTTTTCTTTTGGGTTTACTCAACATTTTCCCCCAGAATCTACATGATCTGCTCTTAAGAAGCTGAGCAGTTAAGACAGTTTATCATGGTTTCCCCTCACACCTCAGGAATAGACACCAGTTGAACCACATCTCAGAATCCATTTAGCTGGGGGTGAGGAGGGGTGCTTCTAGGACTGGATCTTTTTTCCTCTCTCTCTCTTAGAAGTATCTTTTTATTTCACTGTGAAATAAGCTGATTAGTATGTAGAAAAGCAACAGTCCGTTGATTTCCACAAATGCGTTTTGATTTTTTATTCTGGGCTTCAAGTCTTTCCTGCATACATTTAACCGCAGCCCACTCCATCAAAGGTACATTTACTGGGCTGAGGGTTTAGGGGGTGGGCTCCTCCCTGGAATCTTGCTTACATTTGCATGTGAAAAGAAAGAAATGCTTTTGAGTAATTAGTCATCTGAAATTCTGCACCATGAGGAAAAAAAATTGCTTTTGGATATTTATGGAGAGAAAAATCCATATGGACAATGAATACCCTATTAATGCATTGGGGGGAAGGGACAGGGATGTAGCACATTATGTTGAATTTCATCCAAACAATGATAAAAATAATATTGCCACTTTCTTATAAATAGTAGCTACAATAGAAAGTAGCACAAAGCTGTCTTACTCACAACTTAAATTTCTTATATTTATTCTATGATCTTAAAAAGCCCTTTCTTTTTGACCTAATATGTTCATGCCATATTGAAGAAACTCATGATCAATATGTATTGATTTGATCACTAATTGCATTAATTTTGCTTTAGAAATTAGAAAGGCTCTAATGAAAATGTGAAGTCACTTCAAGATAGTACATTATGGGCAGGCTAATTTAGCTGGGCTCTGTGCATCAGATTATTTCATTATGAACCTTCAATTACCATACAAACGAATGAGATAAATAGCCTTTTCTGAGCAGATTTACATTTTTGAATTCGTCTATAAATTTCAAGAGCTTAAGTTAATTTATAACCTAACATCATATTTAATATACAAATAGTTCAATCATGAATGCATTATCTGCATAAACCCTTACTCTGGCCCTTCACATTATGCTTTGAACAACATTTGAAACAATCACTGTTTTTTAAATACTTGCTTGTACTACATTTAATCTCTTAAAGAAAAATGTGAAATAAATATTTTTGTTAAAATCTTGCATATTATTGCTTAGCAATTGGCGCAATGAAACCAAGTGATGAAGAGGTATGCTGTTCAAGATTTATAAAACCCTAGAGATGTGAAATAGTCAAGCTGATTGTGAAATTGAGTGCAGATGCTAAAATAACATCTCAAGAAACAAGAGAACATAGAGCCTTTTAAATTCTTAATGTATTTCTGCTGTTTGAAAAAACCTACCTGTACAATTGAATTAAATAAAAAAGACACCAGAAGTAGATATCTTTACCATAAGATTCTACTTAATTTGGTCTTGGGGTGGAGTGGTATTGTGGTAGATGGGAGAAATGTGGCCAGAAGGCAAAAGTAAAGATAATGTTAAGGAGGTGCCCAGAATTCTGAGATATCTTGAAGAAAAACAATGCATCAAAATAAAATCTAGGTAATATTTTGCAAATAAGTATTTGAAAGTTCATTCTGTTCTCAGGCTGTGTATTTATATACACTGAAGAAAATGAAATAGCTAGCACTAATGGATATTTCATGTGGTCCTATAAAGTTTTGAAGTGGTGCTGATAATAATAATGGACAGAACATGCCATCTACTTTTGCTGTTTAGTATTTCATGATAAAATCATGAACACACAGTCTGGGCATCTAATTCGTACAGTTATTATTATTGTACACTTAGGAATTTTAAAACCTCTAAAATAGTCCAATGGTTCAATTTATACCTTCATTCATTATTCTTATTCACTGACATTATAAGACCCTCATGGCATGATAATCAAAAATCAGTGAATTATCACATAATTTAGGATAAAGCATATTTCACAAGCAAAGGCTTTATGAGAGAATATCAGGGCTGAGGGCTCAATAGAGATCAACTAGCCCCTTAGCACTCAATGTGCAGTCTTAGATGAGCACCTGGGAACAAATGTGGACTCTCTTTGCAGACCTTTGAATCCAAATCTAAATTTAGTATGATGCCCAGGAAATTCATGTGCATGTTAGTTTGAGAAGTACTTGTTTAGTCTTTCATTATCTTTTTATAAACATGGCAACTAAGGCAAAGAAAGCTTGAGAATGCTGTTCAAGGTGGCAAAAATTAACTCTTATCTATGGCTGAAAGCTATGGTGGTTCAAGCATGGTGCTTTGTAGATCCCAGTCATGGGTCAGGTCTACAAAGGTTAACTTTGCTGAACTCCCAGCCAGCTTTGGGAATTGCTTGTAATGGTTATAAAGAGCATGTTTGAGAGTATGTTGATGGATGGATACTAGTGTAGCACCATTCCAAGAACAATCATTCTGAATTTCTATTTTTCAGAATCATTTAATCAGTCCAGCTCACGAGCAAGTGCCAACATCCATCTACCCTGCACTACCTTCTAGATAGAAAATTCAGAATAAGAGATAATAGTTGTATCCTTAATTTACCCATTCATAGAAAAAGTGTGAGAGTCAAGCATGACATGTTTGTCAATATTTCACCACATAAAAATTAAAACAGCAAGGGGTGATAACAAGTGGAGGAATTTTTAGTGTGGCTACCTGCAGCTGAGTATGTACAAAGCAAGTAAACAGTGGCCCAGTATAGACACAGCTGAGGGCACTTAATTAGTGACAATTACTACATTGTTCTAAGCTGCCTGTAACCTTGCTTTCTCCCTTTAGATAAACTCATTTAAGTAAATACAATGTCAAGAAAATGGACAAGCCCTTTGACTTGCTAGAGAACCATGAAAGTGCTGTATTCTATCAATTAAACATGATTCTTTCTTTTAAGAGGAATTAGATCTAACATTTGCTTCAAAATTTCATACAGCTCTCCACACATTGTGTATATTAGTTCTTTAGTGTTAAATGTGTAGCAAATCGATTTTTCTTTTCAAAAATTTATACTAATAATGATCACACACTAAATCTTTTTTTTTAATTATACTTTAAATTTTAGGGTACATGTGCACAATGTGCAGGTTTGTTACATAGTTATACATGTGCCATGTTGGTGTGCTCTACCCATTAACTCGTCATTTAGCATTAGATATATCTCCTAATGCTATCCCTCCTCCCTCATACTAAATCTTAATGGTTGGAGCCTTTCAGAAATTACTTACCTAGAAATACGTTTTAAGAAACAGTTTTGCAACTCACTGATAAAAAATATTGTTAAAGGGATAAACAATTTGGATGCTTTTCTAATTCATCACATTAAGTGAGAATGGTGTCCAGGCAGTAGTTTGGAAATGCTTTGAAAAAGTCACAAATGAATTACCTTTTAAAAGTTTTTCACTTAACAAACATTTATTCAGAAGCTAGCATATAAATCTTTATTTAACAAACCTCTTTTTAGCAACTAGTACATGCTAGATGCTATAAGCAATAAGACATTGTATCAGCCTTTAATGAACTTATAATCAAAAAAGGCAAAAAGAATAGTGCATAAATAACTGTCATACAAAGAGGAAGGCCAAACTACAAGTCCAACTTCTTCAGTCCTATAGCCACGGCATTCTCAAGAGACAAGGTCCAGGCATTTTGTTCTCCTCTAACATCTGCACCAAACAACTCCTATGTCATCTGAGAGTCAGAGGATGGTGACAGCAGCTCCTCCAGCTCCCTGCCTCCTGCAAAAATGAGCAGAACCTTGTGCATTCACCCTGACAGATAAATGTCTTGCATTTGCTGCTTTTTTCTGGGAAATGTGGTGCATGTAAAATGAATATACTTTTATTTGGGACATTAGTCATGGAATGTGGGGGAGAAGGAGATGTTTGACCTACTTAAATATACTTAAGTATACAAGTTAATTTCTTCACAAACTATTTCCAAACTTCTTTTGTTTGACTTGGCATAGACCCCAGGTGACACCAGGCACGCACAGGAACATGGGAAAAAATGCTTTGTTGGTGGTGGATTCCCTCATGGTTTCACAAAGGAAAGGCATTAAAACTCAAGGAAGGTTTTAAGACTCAGTGTTTAATTTATGAAACCACATTTTAAAAATCCAAGCAGAGTAGTCATTTAATGAGGTCAGAAAGTAAGCTGTAACAACTTTAAGCTGGAATTTTACTGTTGTTCTATCACATGAAGAAATGAACGTTTTCTGTCTGTTAAGGATTTGAGATAAGCGCCTCCCACCAGTTGATACCTGACACTTGCAATCAGCTCACAAGAAAGGGGTGCTGCATCTAAAGCTACATTAACTCTTCAGTAACAGCTCAATCTCACTTATCCATGAAGTTCTGTCCGTGAAGTTTACAAGCACTAGGAACATGTCTCCAAGTTACACACAAGAGTCCTGGCCCTGGGCCCTAAATTACACATGGATCTGGAGCTGAGGAAGGCCTCGAATCTCTGGAATTCACCCTCCTCATCTGCACAATAGGGGCTGCAGTGCATGATCCCTCACAGCTCCATCATGGCCAGGGCAGAGAGTGAGATGTCCCTGTGTCAGTGGTACAGCTTGCTTGACTTCATTCCTTCTCTAGATTAACCATTCAAGGCTACACGATGTCAGGTTGCTCTCTAAGTCTACTGGCAGGGCAATGTATTGTGGTTTTCCACAGTCTTCACAACCAGCAGAGGGAGCGAAAGTGCATAGTAAATCAACTTTAATGAAGTATAAAATCTCTTTAAAAATTCTGTTTCATTAAAATAAAATCTGCTAAATGTGTCTGGGTTGAGAAATTTGACTTGCCTGGTATATTTGCCTGCTGTCTGTTAGTGTTTGTGTGTGGGAAGTCAGAATTTAAAAATTATGGCCACTATAGTTAATAACAATATATTGTATTCTTGAAAATTGCTGAGACTGGAAGCTTCCAGCTGCACTGAGCTCTGCCTCTATCCCAGTGATTCCCCACACTGCCAGTCAAGTCCCTAAGGAACTTGTCTCCTCCAGACGCAAGTGCATTCTATCCTGAAGAAGTCTGGTTGTGATAGGAGCCCCGTTCTTGTAGGGACAGAAAAGAAAAGGAGTGGAACATGGTCCAGCTGCCAGAAGAAAAATTGGATTGATGAAAAGGGTCTCCAATTTGGGCTGCTGCCTGAAAGACTTTGAAAAGTTTAGTTTTACTCCAGTCCCCACAGATGAGCTCTTCAACAACCCTACAGTGAATCTGTGCTCAGTGGCCCAGCCAACCAGCAACTGGCTGAGTTGGTTAGCAGAGCAGTGTTGTCTGGCTACAGCTGCGTCACGGTGAGAGGAGACCCCAGCCTGGCAATTAGTACCATTAGTGGTCATGCCTGGAACTGCCCAGACCTTTGTGTCACTTGGGTTGATGCCCAGAAGACATCAGTACACCCCTTACCACTTCATCAGGAAATCTCCATGGACTATCAGTTTCATTTCTCCTCACAGAACTACAGGGAAAGGTACCAGAACTTCCAGGATTTCCCTGGACAAACCTTGTATCTCCTCCCCAAGTATAGCGTATTCTGATCTAGGAGACATGGACCCTCTGGAACATTTTTTTAAAAGAACAATGATATCTAGTATTTTTCCGTGAGAGACATCAATCCATTTGGCACCCAGGAGGTCATGCAACAGAAATTTGATCTGCTGATTGGCAAAAGACAAAGGTCTGTCCATCTGAGTTTTGATATTGATGTATTTGACTGTACACTGGCTCCAGCTGCAGGAATCCCTATTGTAGGGGGACTGACCTTTCAAGAAGGCATCTATATTACTGGGGAAATACATAGTACAGGGTTGCTGTCAGCACTGGATCTTGTTGAAGTCAATCCTCAACTGGGCACTTTAGAGGAAAGGGCAAAGGCCACAGCTAGCCTGCCAGTAGATGTAACTGCTTTATGTTTGGGTCAGACAAGGGAAGGAGGGCACATTGCCCATGGCCAGATTTTCTCGTTTCCCAGCCAAGTCAGAAAATGAAGTGTGTGTGAGAATTTAGGAAATACTGTGCACTGTTTTGTTTCACAATGGGCATTCCAGAGCTGTAAGGCATTTGAGAATTTGAGAGGACAGGTATTAAGTGCTTATCTGGGTTAATATTGCCTTAATTAGAACACTTGCACATTCCCACAATTGTAGTTTCCCCTCTCCATTTTGGTGACTAATAATACCACTGTAAGTGTGTGTGTGTGTATATATATATATATATATATATATATATATATATATATATATTTTTTGCAGTTCACTGGGTATTAATGCATTGTAGTGCTATGTAAATTTAAAGATGCATAAGCAGCATTCGTTACCTTGGTATATCAAAAAATGGTAAGAAAGGAGATTTTTTAACTGTTTTCACCACAAAAAATAATTATGTGAGGTCATACATATGGTAATTGGCTTGATTTAGCCATTCCACAATGTGTACATATTTCAAAACAATATGTTGTGCCTGATAAATATATGCAATTTTTATTTGTCAACTTAAAAATTAATTAATTGAAAAAATAAATACCAAAAAGCCACAAGAGGAAGGAGATTAAGTCCACCCACACCTACCATTCTGCTGTCTAAAGATAAAGGAGGAGCCAGAGGATGCTGGGCCTGCAGGGAAGGAGGAGACGCGTATCAGCATCCTGGCTGGGAACAGAACTCAAGCCTCTCGACTGGACCCTGCTTTCCTTTTTTCACTCACTTACATGAAAATGGGCTTGGGATCAATAAGAATAATTCTGCTCAAGCTTTCCAATAGAAGAAAAACAGAGTAACCAGCCATGTTCTGCAGCTCTCACAGCAATCCTTCCCTCCAGCTGACTTGCTTCTCATCTGCTACTTTTCATGACGATAACGTGCTCCCGCATTTCATGGTGAAAGCTAAAGTCTTTAAAGTGGTCCGCCAGTCACTACACCACATGGCCTCCCTTTGCCCCTCGGACCTCTGGGTCTCCTCAATTCTCCCACAGCACCAGTGGCCAGTGTGCCTTTCCTGAAGCATGTCAGGCCTCTTCCCACTGAAAGCCTTTGAATTCGCTGTCCCCAGAGCACTGTTCCCCCAGAAGTCTGCATGGCTTAGTCCTTCTTTGTCTACTGAATGTCAACCCTCTTGATGCCCTATTTTAATTGTAAACTATCTGCTTTTCACTTTTCCTCCTCCCTTATTTTTCTCTACCTGACGTTCAGTACATATTATATGTCTTACTGTTTTCCTTATAAGTTCAGAGGTTTCTATCATTTTGCTCACTGTCGTTCAATGAATGACTAAATGAATGAGTCAATGAATTTTAAATTTAATTACATATGCAGTGTTTGAAAGAAAGAAAGCAAGTTTCCTTTAATGAAGGTATCATTATGTGCATATTATAGTTCTTTCGGCCTTACTCCCAAATAATTTTTTAATCGGTAGCTCCAAGATTGCTACATTGATTGAAATTCTAATTATTTGGCTGTGAGCACAAATGTGCTCATAACTTTATCATGTTGACATAAATATCAGTTATTTGGTAAGACAATGCTCCAGTCACCTCCTCCTGCTATAATGTCTAATTATCTATCTTGGGCTCTCACATTCCATTGTGAAAAACTAACATTAGCTCATATATAATAGTCATTCATAGTCTTTGCATGTTTGGTATGTGTGACCAAATGCCCTTTAATAGGTTCCATACTAATATTACATGAATATTAGTGAATTATCTAGTATAAATTTCTACAGGGCCTCTTAAGTAAATATGTATTTAGTTGGTTATGTTTTATGCATATTTAGAATTTGTTTGCATTATCCAACTTCACATGTATTATTTACCTGGTGGGAATATTTAGCTTTCTGACACTCTACTTTATCCTATGTATAAATTCACATATGTTTTATAATATTCATAACACTAATTCACCAAACGATCTTGATATCTGGTATATTATCATTTTCTTAATGAGATGTTATCTACAGCAAAGCATTTACTTAATCACTCACTTTTTGTTTGCTTGGTTTTGGGTGTTCCTCACTAAAAACAAGTATCTGTTGAAAAAAAAGGATGTCTCCAGAAAGTCAATGAGTCCTATAAAGAAAATTGTAGCAGACATTTTCTGAAGAAAAACTAATGTGTCAAAGGTAAGTAAAGCATAATTAATTTCTTGAAATTTTTTTTTATTTTCTTCCCCAGCTTATAAAAAGAAACCTCTCTTGTATGTTGGTCGGGCTGAAACCTAATTGCATAATCTGCATTATTTCATTCTCAATTGTCATTGAAACAACTCAAATTATTAAGTGTTTGCTTTCTATTTTCACATTTTTAAAATCTGATCTTTTGTTTAAAAAGTTGAGTCTAAAGAGCTAAAATTTGGGACAATTTAGAAGCTAAAGGGGGTGGATTAATAATTTGGTTATATTTTGCTGTCCAATCGGCATCTCATGGGAGTTTAGAAATAATTTTAGTTATTTGCTTTTAGTCCTTCTTATATAACGCTAACATAGTGGACCTACCATAGGCTGTTATTCCAACTAGTCTGATGGTTTGTTTGCAGACTATTTCATTAAGTTCTTAATTTTTTTCATTAAAATCTTTATGAAAGCTAAGTGGCAATTTCACATTGGAGAAATGAAGCAGTGAAAATGGCTATCATATATCCATCATTTAAACACAGTACTTGGGGTGCCATGTTCCAGCACCACAGCTTAATGTGCCAATACTGTGTAGTATAAACATCTCTTAATAGGTACCTGGGGTTGGAGTTTCTCTACTGTGTTCAACCTAAATGAGTACATGAGATTGCTATTGAAAGTGTTTTTATATCTGTTTGGAATCCAAATAAATTTATTGTTATGGAGTCTCTGTCTTAGAAAACAGATATTTAGGGTCTCTAAACTTTTATTTTGAAATATCAGTAGACTGACAAGCAGTAGCTAAAATAGTATACAGAGATTCTGTGTACCCTTCACCCAGCTTCTCCCATATAAAAAAATCCCATGCAACCATAGGGCTTTATTTGATTTTTAAAAAGGTATTATTTTATTAGAACAGTTTCAGATTTGCAGCAAAATTAAGAGGAAAGTATGGAGATTTCCCATATGCTTCTTGTCCTCCTCCCACATGCATAGCCTTCCCCGTATCAACATCCTCCACCAGGGTCATACATTCGTTAAAACTGGTAACTGCACATCATAATTGCCCAAAGTCCATTGATTACATTAGGGTTCACTCTTGGTGTTGTGCATTCTATAGGTTTGGGCAAATGTGTAATGACTGGTATCCACCATTACATGACTATTCACAGTAGTTTCACTGCTCTAAAACTCCACTGTTTTGCTTATGCATCCTTTTCTGCTACCTTCAACCCTTGGCAATCACTGATCTTTTTGTTGTCTCCGTAGTTTTGCCACTTTCAGAATGATTTGTAAAGTGAGGAGACTTTTGATGAACCTGTTCCTTCTGAGGCAGGATAGTTATAAAGATAAAAAACCAAGCCCCGTTGATTATCTCTTAGAACTAGCAACTAAACCCCATGATTCCTTGGGCAGTTCCAAGATTTCAAGTGCAGTATTCTTTATTTATATTTGCTTTGCTTAAATGTATCCAGCCTATTATTTAATAAATCAGCAAAAGAGAAAAGCAGAGAGAAATTAGCAGAGATATCTTTCCCCCAATTCCCTCCCCATCTCTTTTTTCCTCACCCAAAACAGCACTCCTGGAGAGATGTTTATGAGATCTGTAATTTCTGGGCCTATCAAAAGTGTTAATTTGTGAGTTTCTGGGTCTTTTTTCTCACTGTCCTTCAGAACGGGCACCCCAGGAGCATAAAGGCCAAGTCTGTCTCAGATCTGTCTATCATCTAATGACTGTCTTGAATTTTATAGTCTAGTATTATATAACTGTTTCTGTATTAAAGATTGTGGGTTTTTAAAAGCTGATTTCTATTTTTTCTTGAATAGATAGAGAGAGTTATTCTCTCTGAGAAGATGGGTTCTCCCTTGTCTGATGAACTTCAGAGCTTAAAAATAAGGCTGATTTGAAAGTAAATTTGCTGTCCTCTTTTGTTTTTATTTTTTGGTTCTGAGCCCAGGAACCTTTACCCTTTCTCTTCTCTTCCCTCATAATGAACCTGGTCTCTTGTCTCATTCTGTATGTAATCCCCTGGCTGACTCCTAGCTTCAGCTCCAGACTTGATACCAAAACCTGTGAACAGGGGAATTAAAAGCAAGCTGTACTCTCTCACCAACTTTCTCTGATTTCTAGGCCTCCTTCAGGTTGGACCCCAGGCTTCTCCTACTTCCTGTCCAAGTGGAGCAAATGCAGCTCAGCTGGTTCCTGAGTTGCTACTGCCCCACCCCTATGTCCACGTGCTGGTCTAAGAAGAGGGCAGGGATATTGAGAAAGTAACAGAGAAGGAGCAACAGTGACCATCTCTGCCCAAGTGTGAAGGCCTCCCTGGCCCTCCAAAGAGATGTACAGACTTGAGGAGATGCAAAGGTCCTTCTGGTTGTAGGACTTCAATTATGATCTCTGAGGATATGCTTCAAAATAAAGTCCCCCATATTGAAAATCACTGATCTCATTTCAAAGGATAAAAGCAATCTTTACTAGAAAAGTCACACACACACACGCACACACACACATACTGCCCCCCTGCCACACACACACAATGGTAACTATGGGTGGTGACATATGTGTTAATTAATGTTGTTGTAATAATTATGCAATGTATGTGTAATTAATTCATCCCATTATATACCTTGAATATATGCAATTTTTATTTATTAAATATTTTCTTAAGATCTCCTTAAAGTATTTCTTTTAACTCTTTAACCATTTCAGCAATATCATCTTTTCTTTCCTTCATGTTCTTATTCTTTCCCATTTAATTTTACTTTTAAGATAATTTTTCTCTCTGTTTTTTCAGGAATAACAATCTTCAAGGTTCTCCCTTTTTCCTTTAAAGGCAGTGATTGCAGATAAAGAAGCTGAAATTTTTGCTATTATGACACAAAACAGCATGGCTTGTAAAGAATTTTCCAGGGTCATTTGCCTGGGAGGTGCCCTGTCCCCTCCAATTTTGTACCAGATCTGAATTTTTTCTCTGTGACCTTGACAACAATTCTTCACATATTCATTCAATACTTACTAACTTTCCTGGGTGTCAGATAAGGCACTCAGGACACAGTGGTGACAAAATAGATAATTAAGGGAAGCTTACACTGTAGTTGGGGGAAACAGTCCATAAATAAGTAATTGAACAATAAGCAAGATACTGTCAGAATGAAACCAGGATCATGAAGAAAAGGAATCAGAATGATTTCAAAAAGCATTTGAGGGCAGGGGAACCTGGGACTCTTTTAATGGGTGCACCTAAAAGAGGGAAGACCTCACGAACATGTAAAGTCTGAGCGGAGTCCTAGAAGATAAGATAAAGCAACCATGAGAAGATTTTCTCTGAGAGCATGAGAAACAGGCTGCAGAGAACATCAAGTACCTGCCTTCTTCAGACATCTGTTTCCCCACAAATAGCCATCTATTTTACCTGCAGAGAATTTTGCAGTTATTCTCCTTCCCTCCCCCTCTGCCTTTCCCTCTCCCTCTTCCTCTCTCTCCGTGTGTGTGTGTGTGTGTGTGTGTGTGTGTGTGTGTTTGTATATGTGTAACTCTATGAAAAACACTTCATCTGAGAAGCCAACGTGTAAGTTAAATTTAAGGCAAATACAGAGTATAATAAGATTTGAGGGTGTAACAGAAGTAAAATAACCTTATTTGATCAACATTTTATTTCTACCTTAAATAAAAAGAAAAATGTTTCTATTTACAATGATTTGATACACTTCTGTAAGTGCATAAAAGCCTATAAGCTATCAAAGTTCATTCTATTAACTAAGGAGAAATCTTAAGGGCTACATCTGGATAATACCACAAATTCATAAATTAGTAATTTATAATTCCCCATTGTAAATGATCACTCAGCTGATACACATGAGGACACCTGGCAATCAAACTAAATATTCCCATTTCCAGATGCAAGACATAACTAACTGGTTAATTGCCTTTAAATTTTTGGCCTTATGGTTTATTTTTTAAAAATCATTAGAAAATAGATAGATGATGAAAAAAATGTGGTTCCAAAAGTTTTTCATTTTTCTGAAAAATACTTCCATTATCACTATTTTTAGCAAATTTAATTTAAAAATCTTTTTGTTTTTCTAAGCTTTGAGTTAGGGAAAATTTTAAAAGACTATAGGAGTTGGGGGAATTTTAATATTAGCCAAAAGGGTTTGAAGCAGAGAACTAGGATAAGAAAGGAAGTGAGGGGTGAGCAAAGGTCTCAAGCCAAATGGGGCAGAAGAAAGAGCCCAGCTAGTTGTGACAAATAGAGGGAGAGCAGCTGCTGACCAGCCTCATGACCTTATTTATTACATGGGGAGGAGAGTTGGCCAGTGATGGAAAAGGAGGAAAACCATATCCTCCCTTGGGGACAAGGTATAAAGATCAAGGGATCTGTGAAGTCTAGCATGTCCCACAATGATGATGATGGTGATAATGACCACAGCTGTCCCTAGAGTGTGACACCAAAGCAAAGGGGAGGACAAACATACTCGCACGGAAACAAGGAGCACTGTGCAGCAGACGGAAAGCCTTCATTTGATTTCAAGCTCTTTTGACAGGAGACCTGTGTCTATTCCAGACTGGAATTGTCTCTTTTCTCATCACATCCTTTGGAGAGAACAAAAGTTAGGGAATATCCATGGGGTTTTTGTGAAGATTCTTTGTACTGGGGATGGGAGGTACTGATGCATTGGCAGCTCTTCACTTCCCCCATGAAAATATACTGTATCCCTCTCAATAAAAAAAAAAAAAGCAGGGAGAAGAAAGTTGTGGTAGATGTTATTATCATAATGCCAAAATTATTCTGAGGAAAAGAAAAACCCACTTCAGAAGTATGCTCTTTCTTAACTGTACAAGGTATCAGAGGAAGCAGATGTTTTGTCTGTTACTCAATCTCCTACTCTCCCTCTCTTTCTATCCTTGCCATCTTCCCCATCACTTCTCCATCATAAATTAATGACAGCATTGACTAATTTTATCATATTTTGAATCAATTTTCATAGATCCATCTATTCATTTAAATAAATGTCTCTGATATACATCATCTTACAAACACCCCAAAATGTAAAACCTTAAGCACAAGAAGAAAGGCACATGGAGAATTTGTGTTCCAGGACTAATGCTATTATCGTGGATTTTTTCCAGAAGAGGCTGAGCTGTGCACATCACAAGATAGACTCGGGGATAGGGCTTTATTTATTTTTATTTTTTGGTTATTGAAAGGAAATTAATTGGGAAACTGGGTAAAATTTTGTCTCTTATTTTACAAACAATAATACCCATAAGGCATGCTAAGTGTAAGTAACAGGAAGCCAGCCATGCACCGATGTGTAATATGAAATGAGGACCCCACAATTTATGCTTCCTATGTAAAAGCATACATGATGGCTGCAAAGGCTTTAAGATCCGAGATACAACTAAGATGAAGAGTTTAAGGAAGGTGGTCACAGCCAGTGTTATACTGGGCCGAGCAGTTGCCACTGAGTCTCTACTTGTGAAAGGTGTGAAAGCAAAACTAAGACTTTAGTTCCCTCAGCCACAGTCTCCCTGAAGGGCAGCAGTTGGCGTCAAGAGTCACTTTTGCAAATGAAGTCACTCACACTAAGTAGAAACAGTCAGCCAGGGCAGGAAGGGCTGTGACTCCTCATCAGTATCTCAGGGACCTTGGTCTCCTTCCTTCTTCTCCTAGACTTTTGTAAAAGTCTAGATGTTTTTCTCAGTGTGATAAATTAAACTCATGAAAATAACCATTTATATTTCTCCTATCATCATTCCACTTACTCTTACAGACTGTTAAATTGGATGATACATTGCTGAAGCAACAAAGAGTCCCTAAATAGAAAATGCCTTTAAAATAAGGCATAAGTTAATAGATACCAGTTTAATTCAGTACTAGTCAAATTTTGCTGTCTTCCCTGCAAGATCATTGGATTAGAGAAGTCAGAAAACATGGGTTTTACTTTAGGATCCCTTATTAGACAAGTGACCTTGAACAATCACTTTAACCCAAGTCTCTGTTTCTCATTTATGATATAAAATTAGTCCCACTGGCCCTGATTACCTATCAGGGCTGTTGTCAGTATTGTATCAAATAATGTGTGGAAAAATCACTCATTATTAATAAAATACTATTTAAATCCAAGGCCCTATTCTTGAAACAAGTTCTCAACTCAAACCTCACTTTTCTTGCAAATCCTTCGTGGACCTCTCTTTTGCCCAGGGTGGTAGAGGTTCACCTCTCCTTTAGTTGCACTATCCTGAGCTGGGCACGTCAACACTCCACTGAAGATGACACCGCTCAGCCTCTCCAGTATGGCTGTGTAACGAAGTTCTTGCCAGTGGTACGTGATCACAGGTGCTGTACACCACTTTCAGGTCATTTGAAGGGTGGCTGTACTCCTCCCCTTCCCCACCTCCCCTCTTGCTCACCGAATTATAGTCATTGTAGAGGGAGCTGAACAGCCATCTCAGACCACAAAAATAGAAGCAACAGATGAGGCTGGCAAAGCAGTAGGACTCAAAGAGCCTGAGTCACCCACACTGTGGAGCAGTTATTAACAGCCTCAGAGTGTCTTGTTCAGTGAGAGAATAAACTCCTATTTGTTTAAGCTACTGTATTTTGGCCTTTATTATAAAAATATCCTAACGGATATGTTCCAATTAATTTAGTCTATCTGCATTGTAGTACTCATCACTGTATATTATCTTACTATTATCTTCTTAGCTTACTTGTTAAGTCCTTTAGCTGAACTCTGAGAGCAGGGACCATCCATTCTGGTGTGCCCAGCACTGAGAACAACATGTAACTCAGAATAGACTCTATAACATTTAAATGAATTAAAAATCATTTTTTAAAAATTAAGAATGAACAAATAAGGCTTTTGAAGGAAATCTACAGCTTTGCATTCTAGTTAAAATAGTAATTAAAAATTTTCAGGACTTCAATGCTGTTTATTTTCTGTCATTTAATTTTCATAATAATGCTACAGTTTGATGCTTCTTGAAGCCCAGTCAACTGTTTCATATTATATTTCCCTATTTCACTAATTTTAATTTTTGACAAAATTTAGTAGTTACCTAAGAATAATATTTCTAGGAGAGTGATAGGAACTCAGTTCTCAGTGGGGTAGGGAAACAAGTTTCTATAGGGTAGTACATATATAATATATTGTGAAAATGCTGCAGTAAAATTAGGTATAAATTAGTTAGGATTTATCAGTTAGGATACTACTATAAGAAAGGCCAAAATAATAGCATCTTAAACAAAAAGAACTTGTAACTACAGTGATATGATATTGGTAAAAACCCAACTATTATCAGTGTTTAGGGAATAGGATTTAAATGCTCATTTTCTACTTGTAACTAGAGATATTCATACAAGAATAACCTGTAATAGTGAAAGAAATAAGGGAGACTGGGAAAGAGAGAGAAAGAAACAAAGAGAGAGAGAAGGAAGGAAGGAAGATTCATTTAATAACAGAGGAATGGTAGTGTATTTATCCAATGGAATATTATTCTGTCATTTAAATCTAGCCATAGAGGAGCTGTTCTGCCTCCTGAAGCCAGTTCCTTCACTTGTGGTTTAGATTTGGCCCTTTATCCTCTCTCAGAAGCCATACATTACCAATTATACCCTTTCTCCTTAAATTGCCACTTCCTGTAAAATGGATTCTTTCTTTGGCATTTAAATACTTCAAGTCTTATTATCCTAAAAATAGCCTCTCTGCCCAAGAGCCTCCTCTAGCTATGCCCTACCCCACTAACCTTTCTTAGCCAACCTTACTGAGGGTGCTCCACACTCATGGTCACCATTTTCCCATCACTTTTATGCTTCCAAGTGACCTAGGAAATGAAGCCTTCAGAAATCATAAGCTCTACCCCTGCTTTAAGAGATTCTCCCCAGGCTCAGCCATAAATTTCTTCAGTTGTAAAATAGGGCAATTCAGTGTTAAAGCTGAAAGGGCTCTCAAAGAGTCTACCTCTCAGTATTATTCAGTGGGATGATGAGGTTGATTAGTTCAGTACTAGCCACATCTTCTGAGTTTCTTGTGTGTTCGATCCTTGGAACCACACTTTGATGTGATTGCATCCAGTCCCATGGCTTTGAATACCATCTACATGATGTTCTATATGATCATCAACCACTCTCCTTAACTCTGGAAGTGTGTATTCAGTTTACACCTATTCTCTGTTGCTCCAGGCTTCTGAAACATAACATGTCTAAAACTGAACTCTTAATTTTCTTCCTTAAACCTGCTTCTCCTGCAGTAAATGGCAACTCCATCCTTCAAATTGATCTACCCTAAAATATCGGCATCACTCTTGATCATTTCTCATGATTTCACTACTATTGACCTTGTCTAAGCCAATATCATCTATCTTGTCTAAACTATTGCAATAATCTTTTAACTGGTGTTCCTGTTTCTGTTCTTACTTTCATCCCTTTCAGTATCTTCGTAGCAGCAATATTTTTTTTAAAAAAAAAAGTCATGTCACAGCACTCCTCTGCACAAAGTCTTTCAATGGTTTTTTTATTTCACATGGAATAAACTCTAAAGTTATTTCCTAAATGGCCCTCCATCACATTGGACGGTCTTTGATTTTATCTCTCACCTACTCTGCTTTAGTCACTTGGATATGGCTATTCTTTAAAAACAGCCTCACACTCCCCTGACTCAGAGCCTTTGTATCTGTTATTTCCACTTCCTAGAATCTCTCCCCAGATATTGGCATGGCTTACAGCTTTACTTTCTTCAAGACTTTGCTGAATGCTGTGTAAAATATCATACCTATATCCTGTTTACTCTGTAGGCACCATCTTTATTTTTTCCATAGCACATGTCACCACCTGACATATTCTATTTATTGATTTATTTATGTGATTTTTGCTTGCCTTCTTCCACTGGAATGTAAACTCCCTGACAGCAAGGACTTTCTTTGCTTTTTAGTTTTTAAATAACTGAGCACATAAATATTCTTGAATCAATAAATGCATTTCTCTTCATCTAGGGTTCTACTAGAACTGATATGTATATCACCTCATCTGACAGTCTGTTTTACACTTATTTTAGTATATAAATATGTTCATCGTATTTCAAACTGTAGCAAAGTAAAAAAATAATAATACCTTGAAATAGTTGGTGTTAGAATTCCTTTGAAGAAAATAACTGTCTTTTGTTTGGAAAAATACCTGATAACTGGTTGGGTTGAAAAGTGAAATCATGACAGCAAGGTTTGGCAGAAGGCAAGCAAAAAAGGGATTAAGTCGCTACGCAATTGCAATTTGGAGTGATGAAAAGACAAACAAATAGAGTGGGAGAGAAACAGAAGAGTATAAATAAGGAACAGTTGGGTGAATTGGGAGGCATGGCAAAGGGTTTATGACATCTAATTGTTAAGTTTATGTGGCTTGAGTTTTTCTGGTATAAACCATTATCTCCCCAAAACCTTCTATAAAGTCTGCTGCTTCCAAAAGGGTCTTTCATTAGTGGCTAGTGTGTGTGTGTGTCTGTGTGTATGTGTGTAAATAAGGAAACAGATTGCATTGTGTTTGGGCCATGCCAGGGTGAGAGTAGAGGAAGGACAGGGTATGGTGGGAGAACAGAAAGTAGTGCGGGCAGGACACAAATGCCATAGATGACCCTGAGTTATTGAGCCCTGCTGGAGTCAACAAGTATTTTGGTGAGAACATTGGGGTCTGAGCCAATCTTCCATCATACTTATGGGGCAGAAATGCCTGAGGATACCTCTGTGTTCCTTGACCAAACTTTCCTTGTATTTGAAGACTCTCCTTTTATTTATGCTAATCTTTACAGAAATGTAGTGACTCGAAGACAGAAATTGTTACTCTTGAATCCTTTCCAGACTACATAAATAAATAAATAAGGACCAATTTCACCATTATCATCTAGAAAGTTATTTTTTTCTTTCTTTTTATTTTTCCTCTGTACTTGCTTCAATACCTTCAGGCTCCTTTTATTTCCCTTAAAATAGAGAAGAAAGTTAGAGTGAATATGCCAAAGCAGGTCTAAAACTGAGCACATGAGGACGATTTCTTATTGCCTACATATACCCCTTCCTCATAAAAGATAACAATGGACTTTTGACGTGTTCCAAATGGTCTTGCCTTGCCAATTCAGATGTAACTTTTGGTCCTACTCTAATTATTAGAACTTCTAATTAGATCAAGAGAACTATTTTTCTAAAAATTAGATGCATAAATAATATTACTTTTGCTACCCCATCCATAACAATGTTCCCCACTAGAATTTTCATATGAACTGTGTAGTAAACTTGTGAGTAATTTGAATCTCATTGCAGCAAACTCTCTGGAGCCTTTCTAGGGAAATATAATGGGAAACATTATTTGAAACAAGCACACCATTGTCTGGAGCTCAAAAATCTACTTTGAAATAATAGATGTTGCTGCAAGACAATTTGATGCCCTAATATGTTTAAAGTCATAGTTAAATACACTTAACCCATCACACATCTCAGAATTAGATAGTGTCTATATGCCACGTTTATACTATTGTTTAAAAATACATTGTGTGACTTGAAGGTCTACAGAGGTGGCCTGAAAGAGAGCCTCTTGCCTCTTCCCCCTGTGTGAATTGTGCTGTTGATTAGCTGTTCCACGAGCCTAGAAAAGCTGCCAGTTAATGCCAGGGACCCCAAAGCTGAAGGAAGATTTGCAGCTGTGACTGGCCTAGATTCTGGCAGTGCCAGGCTTGTGATCTGTTGGAGCTGTTGCTGCCTGTGCTGCCTCTTCTAGCATTTTTGAATTGGAAAAAAGATGGAACAGGGAAAGCTGGAGATCAGAAAAAGGAGGCTTGGCTCACATAATAGCTATTCCCTTAATCTATGCAGATTTGATATCTTCCCTTTCTTTAAACGATTCATTTCTGTGACCGTCACTCCCCCATTGCCAGCATTGACCCTAACAATTCTTTTTTGTCCTCATTTACATGGCCCTCGAACTTTAGAAATAAAACATTTAGAACAAAGCCATATTTCCCCACTTCCATAAAACTTTCCTGTTTGTGCAATGCTACCTATTAGAACACTCTAATCCAAAGAAAAGTGACTGAAAAAATTTAGATTACTCAAAATGGCATCTTGATTTTTATCAGTTGGCTTTATTCTGAAATTAGATTCTTACCTTGATCTATGTTGGACTGAAACCTCCTGCCCACCAAATAAGGTCATATTTAATCACCAAATTATGCCCTATGGTCGTGAAAATCACGACACTTGTTTTCATAGGCAGGCTCTCAAATGTCCAAATCTTAATTTGGCTAAATTATATCTGTTTGATATGTTTGTTGGTTTGTATTAAACTGAACTGAATGAGGAATGAGAGATCTGGTCCTTTACTTATTGTCACCATATGTAAACTATTCCATCTATAACCAAAAGAAAGACAACACACACATACACACACACACACACACACATACACAAACACACACACGTTAGTCATTACTCCACTCATTATTTGAGCGGCAATAAATTTATTAGTTTATTATTAACTTTATTATTCCCAGTTGAAAACCTTAAATCATATTATACAAATACATTCAATCTCTCAAATTAAATTTAGTAGGAACAAAATAAAACTTTATAGTTCATAGACTGAAAATCTTCTACATTCAAATAATAATTTTTGTAAAAATGTAAGCAATATTGTTTTTGCTGCCCAGCTTTAATTCTTTTAGGGACATGAAAGGAGGAGGTCACACCAAAAAAAAGTCAATTTACTTTTGAAATGTTTTCAAATGATGAGAGGAAGGGGACTATATTATAAAAACAGGATATTGAGCTCAAATGAAGATGAGTATAGCTGTGGCACCCAAGGGATGTTGGTTCTTGGAAGTAGAGTGGGGGCAGGTTTTATTTGAAAATATGTAATGAAGTTTGCCATAATACAACAACCTGGGGACTCTAATTAAGAGGTAGCATAATAATAATATTGATTTTTTAAACTATAATGATTTCTCTCTTGGCAAGCCCTGCAGGACAAATTACCAAAACTCCAGACAGCTCTTATTTTCCCTTTCTTCTGAGTAGATTCGATCATGAAGATCACTCATCCATTACCAACTCTCCATCTCTTAGAAGCTTCAGGAACATGCAGTGTGGCTTTCCTGGCCACCACCTCTTCAGCAGTGTTTTCTTTATGCTGTGACATAGCCATTTGTTCCCTGTTGCTAATCCATCTCTCCAGGAATGGTCCTAGAGATGCTTCCTCTCCATTGGGCACTATTCTTTGGTGGGGATAAGGTTCTTTCTTCAACCAGAGGTGAAATTCTCTGGACCAGAGGAAAACATGGAGCACACTTAAGGGTCCTAATCTCCAGCAGAAGCCCCAGCATTAAAGTTCTTTATTTGAGTCATTCTTTCCATTTTTTTACAGCAACCCATCTCTCTAAAGAAATATATACAGTCTTCTGCAAGGGTTATATGAAAGTAACATTGGTTTGTTCATTATTTCTTCATTATACAATGTTGATTTAGAACCTACTATGTGCCAACCTCCTTCTCACATCATTGATCAAGACAATAAGCTCCCCTAAATCTTATTTTCTAATGAAGGGAAGCTGGTAGGAAAAAAATAAATGCATTAAAATGATCCAAATAGTGACATATTCAATGTAGGAAATTAAGTATGGAAGGAGAATTTTCAAGGGAGTAGACATGCAGTGTCTTCAAATAGGTGGACAGGAAAAACATCTCTGAGGCCCACCGGTGCTGAGGCCTGGGAAAAAGCAGGTGGCAGCATGCTTGCTGCTTTCCTTTGAGAAGCAGAAGGTAGGTTAGTGTGGCTGGAGAACAGTGAGACAGAGAAGGGTGCAAAAGGAGGTCAAAGCAGTCCAGACCAGGGCCTAGGAAGCTATAGCAGGAAATTTGATTCTTGGTTAGCAGTAGTGTGAAAGAAGAATAACCATATCAGCTAAATCAATATGATTATATGACTAAGTCATTTGAAAAGAGAATTTGCCAATAGGTTTACATATCAGTGCATGGACTGAGCTAATGCCACACCTGAGCAATTGTCCACCTTAGCAATTACCACACCTTAGCATTTCTTAGAAAATGTATACAGAAAGAGTTTCAGGCACAGGCCAGCTGATGTTCCTATTCAAAGAAAAAGAGCAAGAAAAAAATAGAAATAAAATTATATCCTTTTTCAATAAATATGGCAAAAAGATAATATAATTTCATTTTTCAAGAGCAAGGTTACATGCATCGGTCTATGAATTGGTATAAGAAAGTATAGTTTCTACAAAATGTGTTACATACAGTAAAAATTTTCATTCATTTAAGCAATGCATGTCAATATCACTGAAAAACGTGCCAATGTGCAATGCCATGATGTACGCTAACCAAGAAAGCCCTAGGTTCAGCTGTCTTCACAAAGGAATAAGTCATAGTTTTGACCACTCTAACAAAAAGAACGTTTTTAAATAGAGCATGTCATTGGGCAAATTTTGTTCCATTAACTACTACTTCTGCCTATGAATGAATGCTTATACAAAAACTGTTGTTCTAACAGTTTGAGGTGATTGGAGAAAGGGATCTAAATTTTGTTTTCTTTATTTTTATTTTTATTTTTTTTTTGAGACAGAGTCTCTCTGTCGCCAGGCTGGAGTGCAGTGGCGTGATTCCGGCTCACTGCAACCTCTGACTCCCCGGTTCAAGTGATTCTCCTGCCTCAGCCTACCGAGTAGCTAGGAATACAGGCATACGCCACCACGTCCAGTTAATTTTTGTATTTTTAGTGGAGCCGGGGTTTCACCATGTTGGCCAAGATAGTCTTGATCTCCTGACCTTGTGATCCGCCCACCTTGGCCTCCAAAAGTTCTAGGATTACGGGTGTGAGCCACAGTGCCTGGCCTGAATTTTTATTTTCTCCATCACTTCATTCCTATTTGGAAAGCCAATAAGTAACAACAAATATTCTGAAGCACTCTAAGAGCTTGCCTGCAATGTTAAACCAATGAGTATTTAGGAAGAGAAATATAATCCACATGTTCTTGATTAACTTATAATTAAATCATTTGTAAGAGCCATTTGACGTCCAAAACGACTTGTAAGATTTTTTTATAAGCTTTGTTTCCTTAAAGCAAAAAGATCTATTATTGCCAAGAGTAAACAAAGCTTAAAGGCACATCTACTTTAACAACAACAACAACAACAAAGCCTAAAAAGCAAATAACCAAACAAAAAAAAAAAGCAACAAAAACAAAAGCCATTCAATAGCATGATGAAAATGCACTGTACCTCAAAAGTAGACAATACTCCGACTCCAGAGCCATGTACATTGACAATCCTCTTAAGTTTTGACCCAGATATAAATTGCTGGCCAATCTCACCTCATTTACCCTTTTATGATTGGATGGGTAGGACTTGGAACAGAAACTTAACTTTAAATGCAAACAGCTGCTACAACTGACCTAACCCCAAACAACTCCAGAACGCCTACTCTCAGACCTTGCTTTGATCTTGGACCATTAACAATAAGACTGAGAAATTTGTGACAGGGAGACAAATCGAAATTTTCCCACATATGTAATAAAAACAGAGTTCTTTTTTTTTAACTATACTTTTTACTATACTTTTTAAATTTACTTTGTTCCATGTAGGAACAAAGTAGGAAGTATTTATGTCACTCGGTATGGGACTTCAGAGTAGATGGTCCTAACCAACTCTAAAATTTAATAATCTTCTTGTGACCAGCTTGCCAATAGAAAAAGCATCTTATAGTTTGCCCTGTAAGTGAACTTGGGCAAAGAAACAAATATAGGGACAAAGATTCAGCAAGAAAGTTGAATCTTTTTCAAAAATAAAGAATATGATTGACAAATATTTAATGACTCCACATTTAGAATCGAATCATTGAATATGTTTTTGGTAAAGGATATATGTGAAACTTAACTCTAAATGTCCTATATTTTTAAAATAATGTATACAAAAACACATTTTTAAAACCAAATTGTTTACTATTCATGCTCAAAGTATTTGCAATTCACTAGAAACCTAAAAATACTATTTTCAAAAATTATTACATAACAAATTCCTATTCGTTGTAGAAAACTAGGAGATACAAATAAATTTAAAGAAATAAATTCACACCATGGAATACTATGCAACCATAAAAAAGGATGAGTTCATGTCCTTTGTACAGACATGGATGAAGGTGGAAACCACCATTCTCAGCAAAACTATCGCAAGGACAAAAAACCAAACACTGCATGTTCTCACTCATAGGTGGGAATTGAACAATGAGAACACTTGGACACAGGAAGAGGAACATCACACACCAGGGCCTGTTGTAGGGTGGGGGAAGGGGGGAGGGGTAGCATTAGGAGATATACCTAATGTAAATGACGAGTTAATGGGTGCAGCACACCAACATGGCACCTGTATACATACGTAACAAACCTGCACGTTGTGCACACATACCCTAGAACTTAAAGTACAATAAAAAAAAAGAAATAAATTCAGATCACCTGTATTTCCACCATCCTGTAGTAACTATTATTAACATGTGTATATGTATGTATGTGTGTGTATATCTATATGTGTGTATATATACATATATATGTATATGTGTATATACATATATAAGCATATATATGTATATGTGTATATACATATATAAGCATATATATGTATATGTGTATATACATATATAAGCATATATATGTATATATACATATATAATACACACACACACAGATACTTTTTTCCACCCATATTTATAAATGTAGTTTTTCTTAACAAAAATAAGATGCCACTATAAATGTTTTTGTAATTTAATTTTTTTTCCTTCATTCCATAGCCTTTCAACAAATATTAAACTTTCCCTTCTTTACAAGATGGTGTCTGAGTACAGGGGTAGCTTACGTATTCAGATAGCTCTACAATCCATAGAGACCATCTTTCTGGTCTCTTGTACCAGTTTGAAATCATGCATCCCCACTTGCCAAGTCTGCAGATGATAAACCCTTGATCTATTTTCTGGCATGGGCCTTTCCCAAGGGTAGGTCTTGTGGCTTGATGATGCACCACCCTCGGCACACTGATGCTTACCTCTGAGTCCAGCTTTGGGCTGCCTGTTTGCCTGGTATCACCTCTATGCTTTGAAGACAGAAAGTCTTTAAAATTAAGACTTTAAGGGAGGAGCCAAGATGGCCGAATAGGAACAGCTCCGGTCTACAGCTCCCAGCGTGAGCGACGTGGAAGACAGGTGATTTCTGCATTTCCATCTGAGGTACCGGGTTCATCTCACTAGGGAGTGCCAGACAGTGGGCGCAGGTCAGTGGGTGCGCGCACCGTGCGCGAGCCGAAGCAGGGCGAGGCATTGCCTCACTTGGGAAGCGCAAGGGGTCAGGGAGTTCCGTTTCCGAGTCAAAGAAAGGGGTGACGGACGCACCTGGAAAATCGGGTCACTCCCACCGGAATACTGCGCTTTTCCGACCGGCTTAAAAAAGGGGCGCGCCACAAGATTATATCCCGCACCTGGCTTGTACGGTCCTACGCCCACGGAGTCTCGCTGATTACTAGCACAGCAGTCTGAGATCAAACTGCAAGGCGGCAGCGAGGCTGGGGGAGGGGCGCCCGCCATTGCCCAGGCTTGCTTAGGTAAACAAAGCAGCCAGGAAGCTCGAACTGGGTGGAGCCCACCACAGCTCAAGGAGGCCTGCCTGCCTCTGTAGGCTCCACCTCTGGGGGCAGGGCACAGACAAACAAAAAGACAGCAGTAACCTCTGCAGACTTAAATGTCCCTGTCTGACAGCTTTGAAGAGAGCAGTGGTTCTCCCAGCACGCAGCTGGAGATCTGAGAATGGGCAGACTGCCTCCTCAAGTGGGTCCCTGACCCCTGACCCCCGAGCAGCCTAACTGGGAGGCACCCCACAGCAGGGGCACACTGGCATCTCACGCGGCAGGGTATTCCAACAGACCAGCAGCTGAGGGTCCCGTCTGTTAGAAGGAAAACTAACAAACAGAAAGGACATCCACACCAAAAACCCATCTGTACATCACCATCATCAAAGACCAAAAGTAGATAAAACCACAAAGATGGGGAAAAAACAGAACAGAAAAACTGGAAACTCTAAAAAGCAGAGCGCCTCTCCTCCTCCAAAGGAACGCAGTTCCTCACCAGCAACGGAACAAAGCTGGATGGAGAATGACTTTGACGAGCTGAGAGAAGAAGGCTTTAGACGATCAAATTACTCTGAGCTACAGGAGGACATTCAAACCAAAGGCAAAGAAGTTGAAAACTTTGAAAAAAATTTAGAAGAATGTATAACTAGAATAACCAATACAGAGAAGTGCTTAAAGGAGCTGATGGAGCTGAAAACCAAGGCTCGAGAACTACGTGAAGAATGCAGAAGCCTCAGGAGCCGATGCGATCAACTGGAAGAAAGGGTATCAGCGATGGAAGATGAAATGAATGAAATGAAGCGAGATGGGAAGTTTAGAGAAAAAAGAATAAAAAGAAATGAGGAAAGCCTCCAAGAAATATGGGACTATGTGAAAAGACCAAATCTACGTCTGATTGGTGTACCTGAAAGTGATGGGGAGAATGGAACCAAGTTGGAAAACACTCTGCAGGATATTATCCAGGAGAACTTCCCCAATCTAGCAAGGCAGGCCAACATTCAGATTCAGGAAATACAGAGAATGCCACAGAGATACTCCTCGAGAAGAGCAACTCCAAGATACATAATTGTCAGATTCACCAAAGTTGAAATGAAGGAAAAAATGTTAAGAGCAGCCAGAGAGAAAGGTCGGGTTACCCTCAAAGGGAAGCCCATCAGACTAACAGCGGATCTCTCGGCAGAAACCCTACAAGCCAGAAGAGAGTGGGGGCCAATATTCAATATTCTTAAAGAAAAGAATTTTCAACCCAGAATTTCATATCCAGCCAAACTAAGCTTCATAAGTGAAGGAGAAATAAAATACTTTACAGACAAGCAAATGCTGAGAGATTTTGTCACCACCAGGCCTGCCCTAAAAGAGCTCCTGAAGGAAGCGCTAAACATGGAAAGGAGCAACGGGTACCAGCCGCTGCAAAATCATGCCAAAATGTAAAGACCATCGAGACTAGGAAGAAACTGCATCAACTAACGAGCAAAATCACCAGCTAACATCATAATGACAGGATCAAATTCACACATAACAATATTAACTTTAAATGTAAATGGACTAAATGCTCCAATTAAAAGACACAGACTGGCAAATTGGATAAAGAGTCAAGACCCATCAGTGTGCTGTATTCAGGAAACCCATCTCACGTGCAGAGACACATATAGGCTCAAAATAAAAGGATGGAGGAAGATCTACCAAGCAAATGGAAAACAAAAAAAGGCAGGGGTTGCAATCCTAGTCTCTGATAAAACAGACTTTAAACCAACAAAGATCAAAAGAGACAAAGAAGGCCATTACATAATGGTAAAGGGATCAATACAACAAGAAGAGCTAACTATCCTAAATATATATGCACCCAATACAGGAGCACCCAGATTCATAAAGCAAGTCCTGAGTGACCTACAAAGAGACTTAGACTCCAACACATTAATAGTGGGAGAGTTTAACACCCCACTGTCAACATTAGACAGATCAACGAGACAGAAAGTCAACAAGGATACCCAGGAATTGAACTCAGCTCTGCACCAAGCGGACCTAATAGACATCTACAGAACTCTCCACCCCAAATCAATAGAATATACATTTTTTTCAGCACCACACCACACCTATTCCAAAATTGACCACATACTTGGAAGTAAAGCTCTCCTCAGCAAATGTAAAAGAACAGAGATTATAACAAACTGTCTCTCAGGCCACAGTGCAATCAAACTAGAACTCAGGATTAAGAATCTCACTCAAAACCGCTCAACTACATGGAAACTGAACAACCTGCTCCTGAATGACTACTGGGTACATAACGAAATGAAGGCAGAAATAAAGATGTTCTTTGAAACCAACGAGAGCAAAGACACAACATACCAGAATCTCTGGGACACATTCAAAACATTGTGTAGAGGGAAATTTATAGCACTAAATGCCCACAAGAGAAAGCAGGAAAGATCCAAAATTGACACCCTAACATCACAATTAAAAGAACTAGAAAACCAAGAGCAAACACATTCAAAAGCTAGCAGAAGGCAAGAAATAACTAAAATCAGAGCAGAACTGAAGGAAATAGAGACACAAAAAACTCTTCAAAAAATTAATGAATCCAGGAGCTGGTTTTTTGAAAGGATCAACAAAATTGATAAACCGCTAGCAAGACTAATAAAGAAAAAAAGAGTGAAGAATCAAATAGACACAATAAAAAATGATAAAGGGGATATCACCACCGATCCCACAGAAATACAAACTACCATCAGAGAATACTACAAACACCTCTACGCAAATAAACTAGAAAATCTAGAAGAAATGGATAAATTCCTCGACACATACACTGTCCCAAGACTAAACCAGGAAGAAATTGAATCTCTGAATAGACCAATAACAGGAGCTGAAATTGTGGCAATAATCAATAGCTTACCAACCAAAAAGAGTCCAGGACCAGATGGATTCACAGCTGAATTCTACCAGAGGTACAAGGAGGAACTGGTACCATTCCTTCTGAAACTATTCCAATCAATAGAAAAAGAGGGAATCCTCCCTAACTCATTTTATGAGGCCAGCATCATTCTGATACCAAAGCTGGGCAGAGACACAACCAAAAAAGAGAATTTTAGACCAATATCCTTGATGAACATTGATGCAAAAATCCTCAATAAAATACTGGCAAACCGAATCCAGCAGCACATCAAAAAGCTTATCCACCATGATCAAGTGGGCTTCATCCCTGGGATGCAAGGCTGGTTCAATATACGCAAATCAATAAATGTAATCCAGCATATAAACAGAGCCAAAGACAAAAACCACATGATTATCTCAATAGATGCAGAAAAAGCCTTTGACAAAATTCAACAACCCTTCATGCTAAAAACTCTCAATAAATTAGGTATTGATGGGACGTATTTCAAAATAATAAGAGCTATCTATGACAAACCCACAGCCAATATCATACTGAATGGGCAAGAACTGGAAGCATTCCCTTTGAAAACTAGCACAAGACAGGGATGCCCTCTCTCACCACTCCTATTCAACATAGTGTTGGAAGTTCTGGCCAGGGCAATTAGGCAGGAGAAGGAAATAAAGGGTATTCAATTAGGAAAAGAGGAAATCAAATTGTCCCTGTTTGCAGATGACATGATTGTATATCTAGAAAACCCCACTGTCTCAACCCAAAATCTGCTTAAGCTGATAAGCAACTTCAGCAAAGTCTCAGGATACAAAATCAATGTACAAAAATCACAAGCATTCTTATACACCAACAACAGACAAACAGAGAGCCAAATCATGAGTGAACTCCCATTTACAATTGCTTCAAAGAGAATAAAATACCTAGGAATCCAACTTACAAGGGACGTGAAGGACCTCTTCAAGGAGAACTACAAACCACTGCTCAAGGAAATAAAAGAGGATACAAACAAATGGAATAACATTCCATGCTTATGGGTAGGAAGAATCAATATCGTGAAAATGGCCATACTGCCCAAGGTAATTTACAGATTCAATGCCATCCCCATCAAGCTACCAATGCCTTTCTTCACAGAATTGGAAAAAACTACTTTAAAGTTCATATGGAACCAAAAAAGAGCCCGCATCGCCAAGTCAATCCTAAGCCAAAAGAACAAAGCTGGAGGCATCACACTACCTGACTTCAAACTATACTACAAGGCTACAGTCACCAAAACAGCATGGTACTGGTACCAAAACAGAGATATAGATCAATGGAACATAACAGAGCCCTCAGAAATAATGCCGCATATCTACAACTATCTGATCTTTGACAAACCTGAGAAAAACAAGCAGTGGGGAAAGGATTCCCTATTTAATAAATGGTGCTGGGAAAACAGGCTAGCCATATGTAGAAAGCTGAAACTGGATCCCTTCCTTGCAACTTATACAAAAATCAATTCAAGATGGATTAAAGACTTAAACGTTAGACCTAAAACCATAAAAACCTTAGAAGAAAACCTAGGCATTACCATTCAGGACATAGGCATGGGCAAGGACTTCATGTCTAAAACACCAAAAGCAATGGCAACAAAAGACAAAATTGACAAATGGGATCTAATTAAACTAAAGAGTTTCTGCACAGCAAAAGAAACTACCATCAGAGTGAACAGGCAACCTACAAAATGGGAGAAAATTTTCGCAACATACTCATATGACAAAGGGCTAATATCCAGAATCTACAATGAACTCAAACAAATTTAGAAGAAAAAAACAAGCAACCCCATCAAAAAGTGGGCAAAGACATGAACAGACACTTCTCAAAAGAAGACATTTATGCAGCCAAAAAACACATGAAAAATGCTCATCATCACTGGCCATCAGAGAAATGCAAATCAAAACCACAATGAGATACCATCTCACACCAGTTAGAATGGCAATCATTAAAAAGTCAGGAAACAACAGGTGCTGGAGAGGATGTGGAGAAATAGGAACACTTTTACACTGTTGGTGGGACTGTAAACTAGTTCAACCATTGTGGAAGTCAGTGTGGCGATTCCTCAGGGATCTAGAACTAGAAATACCATTTGACCCAGCCATCCCATTACTGGGTATATACCCAAAGGACTATAAATCATGCTGCTATAAAGACACATGCACACGTATGTTTATTGCGGCATTATTCACAATAGCAAAGACTTGGAACCAACCCAAATGTCCATCAATGATAGACTGGATTAAGAAAATGTGGCACATATACACCATGGAATACTATGCAGCCATAAAAAATGATGAGTTCATGTCCTTTGTAGGGACATGGATGAAATTGGAAATCATCATTCTCAGTAAACTATCACAAGAACAAAAAACCAAACACCGCATATTCTCACTCATAGGTGGGAATTGAACAATGAGATCACATGGACACAGGAAGGGGAATATCACACTCTGGGGACTGTTGTGGGGTTGGGGGAGGGTGGAGGGATAGCACTGGGAGATATACCTAATGCTAGATGATGAGTTAGTGGGTGCAGCGCACCAGCATGGCACTTGTATACGTATGTAACTAACCTGCACAATGTGCACATGTACCCTAAAACTTAAAGTATAATAAAAAAAAAAAAAAGAAAGGAAAAAAAAGACTTCAATTCTCAGTTGTGCCCAGTGTTCTTCCCTGGGCCTATGACAATCTCTGACTCTTTGTCAACCACATACAGCCTATGGAGCCCTGACCCCTCTCTGCTTTAAGCTGGCCATGTTGCCATTTCTACTCTCCTGTTGGTGCAGGCCATTCTACAGTTCTCCTTAAGGGGTAGCAAATGAGAATCAAAGCACATGCTCTTGGCTTCCCATTCAAAAACGTGCTCTTTCTGTGGTGTTCAACCCATAAGGGTGGAAAAAAGGACATTCACATTTGACTCCTTGCTGCCCCTCCCTTTGTCTCTGGGTCCTCCTCTCTGGCCCCAGGAAAGTCTTGCATAATTTTCCAGATTTTTTTCTGCTTTATCATCTACTCTGTGGTCAGTCCTTTAAGCTCTGACTCATTGAAACATGCAATTTTTCCCATTTCTCATTAAAGCCTGGCTTTTGAAAGTCAAAAGTATTTGCTTTTAAGCTATTAACTCTCTATGGATTTAATAACCTCTGTTTTGAAACTTAAAGTCAAGCAATGATTCCCTTGTTCTTGGCAGCCCCCCACCCACTTCCACATGGCAATGAATTCCTCTGAACCATTGGGTAGGGCAGCTGCCAAACAACTCTAAAAGGGGATTACCACAAGACACATTGGTTTGATATCTCAAAAATGGCATCCTTTATATCACTGGAAGTGAAATTGTTGAGTCAAAGAAAATGTATATTTTAAAGACTTTAAGTACATGTTAGTTATCCTCCAGTAGACTATTAAGAGTGGCCTTTTAAACCTAAAAAAGTTAATATAAAAAATGAGTATTAGCATATTTTCATATTTGTCAAATAAAAATAATAAATAGTATCTTATTACTTTAATTGCTAAAAGCATGAACAAATTTGATAGACAACTTGGTAGTTATATTAACTCAATCATTTGATAAATATATATAGGTTCCATATGTGTGTTACGTAATGGGAAAAAATCTGCAAGACATATTCTATGACTCATATTCAAGAGGCTCACAGGCCAATGGGAACACAGCTTGTAAATAAGTAATTGCCTCTGAACGTCAAAATGAAGAGTGATAGGAATAAACTTTTACACATTCAATGTTTTAAAAAATTCCATGAGTCACTGGGCTTGGTGGCTCATGCCTGTAATACCAGCACTTTGGGAGGCTGAAGCAGGCTGATCGCTTGAGCCCAAGAGTTCAAGACCACCCTGGGCAACATGGCAAAACTCCATCTCTACTAAAAATACAAAAAATTAGCTGGGCTTGGTGGCATGTGCCTGTAGTCCCACATATTCAGGAAGCTGAGGCGGGAGGAGCACCTGAGTCTGGGAAGTCAAGCCTGCAGTGAATATAGAGCATGCCACTGTACTCCAGCCTGGGCGACAGAGTGAAATCCTGTCTAAAGAAAGAAAGAAAAATACATTCCATGAGTCCACACTGATACTTATAAAGGGTTTTTCTTTTCCTTTGCTTTTAGGGAGGGAGAAATGGAAAAGTTTTCTTTATTCTTTTAAAAAGCCAACTAATAAATGTAGAGGGAATTAAAGAAACAGGAAGTAATTCATTTACTGGCATCTAGCATCATAACAATAATTGACTCAGTTAGGAATCATCATTAGATGCTAGAATTATGGGATGAAAACTTGTTGAGAGCAGCATATGGAAAAATTGAGTTGAGGGACACTCTATTATTAAATTACCAAATTTAACATCAACAGTAATGGGAAAAAACTGACATTATGTACCTTTGATGTGATGTGATAAAGAGTATACAATATCATCATCTATGTATATTCTTGCCAAAAATGTTTAACCTAAATTAATCATAAAGAAACATTCAAGTCAGACAAATTCAAATGGAAGCACATTCTGTAAACAACTGCCCAGAATTCTTTAAAAATGTCAACACCACAAAACCTACTCTGTGTCAGTCCATTTGAATTACTATAAAGAAATACCTGAGACTGGGTGGTTTACAAAGAAAAGAGATATCTTTTGGCTCATGGTTCTGCAGGCCATACAAGAATGGCACCAACATCTGCTCAGTTTCTGGTGAGACCTCAGGAAGCTTACAATCATGGCAGAAGGCCAAGAGGAGCAGGCATATCACAAGGCAAGAAAGGGAATAAGAAAGAGAGGGGAAACTCCTAGACTCTTAAACAACCAAATCTCGTGTGGACTAAGTGAGAACTCACTCATTACTATGGGGAGGCCACCAAGCTATTCATGAGGGATCTACCTCCATGGCCCAAACACTTCCCACCAGGTCCCACCTCCAACATTTGGAATCACCTTTCAAGATGAGATTTGGAGGGGACAAATATCCAAACCATATCACATTCCCATTATGCCCCCTCCCAAAAGGCTATGAAACTTTTCTAGATCAAATAAGACAAAAGATATATACCAACGAAATACTACAAGTAACTACTGATTGGATCCTGAATCCAAAAACACTTTAAAAGAAATTATTGGGCAATGGAGGAATATTTAAATAGGAACAAGTATATTAGATAATAGTTTCATTTCAATATTAAATATTCTGAATATGGCTGTGAAGGAAAATGTCCTTGTTATTAAGAGATGCACTCTGAAGTATCTAGTGGTGAAATAGAGTGATATTTACAAGTAACTTTCAAATGGTGGAGAGAGAAAAAGAGGAGATGGAGGGAAAGAGAAAGAAAACATTGCAAACTAGGTGAATCTAGATGAAGGGTATATCCATTATACTATTTGGTCACATCCCATACTTCTGAATTATTTTGAAATAAATACTTGGGGAAAAACATTAAGTGATTGTAAAAAATAATAATTCCCGTACACCACGAAAATGGCATGAGAAAGGCAGTAATTACGAACAGAGATGGCATAAACCTTTCTCCTCTTTTCTTCTCCGTGTACCTCTACTTCTTGGTGACAGTACACTATCCTGTGCCTGAAACACCATCTGATGCCAATGACTGACTAAGTGATATCTCTAGTTCTGTCTTGTCTTCTGAATTTTTTACTGCTGAATCCCCATTGCCTGGCACCTAGTAGGTCAAATGCTTGAGAATGAATGAATACATTCTGCTTGGAGGAGAGAAGGGCAATGTCATTGGGTAAGAGATTCTTTATCTAGATCTTTAAAAGTGAGTAGATGTTAGTAGTAAGGTGAATGGGAAGATGGCCTGTACATCCGTAGTTGACTCTTTCTCCAATGCCTTGGTCTAGACAATAAATGATCAACACAAGCTGAGGCAGAGAGGTGGGGCAGGGGGAGAAGTGGAGCGTGCCCATCCTGTATGATAGTAATGACAGATCCTCAGCTAGTTGTTTTTCTGTGGTAAAGTAGACCAAGAATTTCCAACTCTGATTTTAAGAAGAAACTGAAAATCTACAGATTTCTGGAAATTTTCTCAATTATTAAAAGTCTTCTTTTTAAATTTATTTTAAGTTCTAGGATATATGTGCAGGATGTGCAGGTTTGTTACATAGGTAAACGTGTGCCATGGTGGTTTGCTGCACCTATCAATCCATCACCTAGGTATTAAGCCCCTCAGGCTCAAACAAAATAAGTATTCTGGATGAATGACACAGTTTGCAGTCCCAGATCTGAAACATGATTAGTAGCAAAAGATAAGTAGGGCCAGCAGAAAGAACAAATCTTGGAGACTCTTGTGAAAGATATGCTATAAGAGATAGAGCCAGGTTTTAGGGGAAGATTAAGTATGTTTGATGAGAGAGACAGAAAAAATGATCACCAGTCAAATCGGAAGAAGGGAGACAAGTCCTAAATAAGACATTTAAAAAAAACCTGTTAGTCATTGGGGCACAAAAAAACATAACCTCAAAAGAGGGTCACACACACATACACAACAAGATAGCTTCACCTTTAAAAGTGAGCCCAGTATAGTGTTAGCTTCCCAGAGCCCCTCTGCTCTGGAGGGACCTGGGAGTACAGTGGAGCCTGGCAGAAGAGGTGTTTGTAGTAAGAATTGGAGAGTGGGGCCTGTCCAAGTGGAACTGAAGCAAAAATTTCATGTTGAATCTCCCTGGGTTCACACAGATCATTCCAGGAGTCCTGCTTCCACTGGAGAGGGCAAGAACTGAAAAGCAGTGGGCACGGGCACTGGAGCTTGATAGCACATTCCCAACTCTGTAATCTTCCCTCAATCACCCCCTCACCAATTTTGCCTTTTGTTTTCCCTAAGAAACATAGAAATGTTTGTCCAACTGGAGGAAACATTGATAGCATCTGTAATTTGCATTATTTTGCTTTTTTGGTCTCCATATTTACAACCATTCAATGTCTGTTTTTGAGCATCTGCTTGGTGCCAGGCACTGTATCAGGTACTAGAGACACAGCAAAGAGCAAGACAGATCATTAAATAAAGATATTACTTGTATATAAAAATAAATCCTATAAAAGTCAAGGCATGATTTTTTTCAGGAAAAAAAAAATAGAAGTATGTTTAGACAAAATCTACAGGACAAGGAGATTACAGTGAGTTAGTCTCAGAGAACACCAATTTAAATTTTCATTCAATCATTCACTATTTTTACAATAATTTATTGATTATTGACTATTGCTCAGCTATAGAAGATACTAGAGAGAAAAAAAACAAATTTTTACTGTTTGAGAGTTCACATTCTAAGGAGGAAGCTCAACATTTATATAAATAAATAATTATGATATGTATAATAAGAATAGAGGTTTGAGCAAAGTGTTTAGGATCTCAGTGAAGGAAGAAATTAATTCTACTTAAGGGTCTGAGAAGTCTTCTCTGGAAAGTAGAGAAGAAATCTGGATTTGTTTGGTGATGTACTAAGAAATGGTCATAAATTGTAAATACTGAATAGAAAATATATTAGAGAGACCTGTAGAAATTAAGAACTGAAGGGGAGTGGTCTTGGGAAGAAGTTTTATGAAAGTGGACCTGTGCTGTACAGTACTAGGAAAGAGACAAAGTTGACTGCGGGAACTGTACATAAATGGGATGTCTGGCTTTACCCTTCCACCACATGTGAGGCTTTTGGAACAAAACGTTAATAGAAGGTGTGGGGATATTGATACAAATTATATCCTGATAACTTGTGAAACAATTTGCATCTCATCATTTTAAAATCCCCATAATCTTCTCAAATCAGGCCGAGAACCTTCAGGATCTGTTACACTTGTGTAAGAAGGTGGTGGGATGCAATTCCCTATGATGGATTCAGGCAGTCTTTTCCCACACTCAGTGGAGTACCAAGGGTGAAAGGCAAAACAGCATTTAACACAGGCAGGAAGAGGCTGCAATGTAGAGAATTTTTTAAAAAATAATAAAACTGGCCAAAAATTAGTTCACTTTTTATTTTCACCATGAGTGCACAATTCTTACCCATGTCAGTGATAAAACGCTTCTTCCCAAAATATGTTCTCTAAGTTCCAAGCAATTATTGTGATTGCTGTTTGAGTTCTAATGTGAAAGCTGTAAGTGATCACATTTTTTGTTACTCCTCATTTAATAGGCATTATTTTTGACATGGAAGTTAACACAGAGTTCCCAGTTTTACAGCTATACTACAACACACACACAGACTCAGCTATACATGTTCATTTAGAAAGTAGTTCATAACAGGTTAAAATTATTTGAGCCTGTGTAACTTATGTCTGCAACCCCTAAGAGACTACGAAGTCTTTCATTTAAATAGTAGATACGAACTAAACAGGGATAGCTGTGTGGATTTTTTTCTTCTCTGATTTTTTTTGTTGTTGTTGCAAATGAGGTTAATCACACACACACAAAATTTGCAAATAGCTAGTGTTATTCTTGAACGATGAGCAGTGAAAACCAGCTTTAAAATCCTTTCTTGATTGGCTCACAAAAATTGTGAAATATTCCATTTACCATTTCATAAAAAAAGAGAATCAAATTTTGAGAATAAAATTCTCTTCATTGTCTGTGTTTATTTTCTGGCCATGAGTTATTGTTTATTTCTTAATTATTCTGAAAATAATTATGTTGTAATGAGGAAGGGATGTTCATAAATGATCCCCTCTGAGTGTCAAGAATGCTGGGCACATTAGTACCTATTCACAAACTTCTCTAGCAGTGAGCTGAAGCAGCTAGAGGAAGTTTAAGGCAAAGAAGCAAAAGTCAGCTCTTCCCCAAATGTGGCTGTCTTCAGAAACTTGGTTTCCTAGAACTCATGGACTCAACGGTGAATGTGGTTGGGGGACTCATGGTTTTAGTGGAAACTGAGTATTACAATTTTCAAAACACTTGAAACTCCATTTGTAAAATTCTCACAGGTAGACATTCCATAAACAAAAGATGTTAGTATATTACCATAAATAACTCAAGTTATTATGATTACTCAAGTTATATTGTATGCTGATTTAAGGTACCTTTTATCATAGAAGAGAAATAAAAGATCTTTTGCATCAATGAGAGTGCTTGAATAAATCACTCCTGTGAATTAACATGTCACAGAAGAGAAGCGGACCCCGATATAACAGATTCAATGGATAAGAAGGAGGGACAAAATTCTGCATCACCAGTTTGAGATGTACTTCCAAAATCCACCTTCTAATGGACAGAAAAAGCAAGGCCATGTGGAAATTGTCTATAACACTATTTAAGGGATATTTTCTGTCATTGGTTACATTCAGCATTGATTTGTCATTTTGATTTCATTAGTGGTCCTTATGACTTGGATGCTCACATTCTGCTTGAGGAGCTATAATTACATTTTGTCAACCAAGCTAATCTGATTTTTGCATGCACAATAACTTCCAGATCTAACCTACTTCAAGAGTCCTATGCTGTTGCTGCTGCTTCTACTGCTACTACCACAAATAGTGATGTGTCACAGAACTTTAAAGAGTTTTTAAAAGTATTTAGATAAATAATCTCTCCCCAAGTTTCTTAAAATTAGAACTGCGTGTGATATAATAATAATCAAATCTGGAGATATACATGTTAAGTGCTCATGCTGGCACTTCTCTTCCCACACCAATGCAGACATTACTAACCACTCTTTAGCACTAAGCCTAGATACCCCTCTGAGTCTTTCACAATTATCAGTGGATGTCCAGGCAGCCACTAACCTATCATCTTGTATTGGCATTACAAGAGAAAATATAGTTTCTATTCCTGATATAGTGTAATTTATCATTTTACAGATAAAGAAATGCTCAAAAAGGACTGCACAGTAAATTAGTTGCAGAGTTAGGACAAGAACATATCTTATCTCCTGACTCTCAGCCCAGTACCCTTTCTACTGTCTCATGTGTAGTTTTCCGTAACATAACACCCAAATGACTAATCAGATTCTGGTTTCAAAATTTAAAAACTCACAATGACTTTTAAATTTCATTATTCAGAAAGCTGTTCTAATAAAGAGACTTTGGTCCAATATATTTACTACCTCATCTGGTCACCATCCTTTACACAGCAAGTATAATCAGTTATCTCTAGGGGGCAGAGGGTGATTTCAGCAGTTGCTGAAATACATGCATTTATAAAGACTGCTAGCATTTTTACATCCTACAAAAATGCACAGAACCAATCCCAAAACATCACCAACCCTCAAATAGAAGGATTCTAGCTACATGTGAGGGGGGGTAGCTGATCAAAGTCAGCTGAGACTAATAAACATGAAAAAGAAGAGCTGAAGAGAAAGACAGATGCCGATGAGTACTTCTCACCATTTAAGACAACTTATAATTCTAACCATTCTGCTAAAAACAGACAACGGACTGATTGCTATTGTTTTACTGATTAACTATTCTCTCTGCTTTGTCCCAAAAGGCACCCTGGCAAACTTTGCTTAGTAAATATTGACACCTGTACACCAAGCTGGCTAATGCCATTGGCTCTTCAGCAATCTTCCCATCTGTTGCCTGAGAATTTTAAGCAACGTATTTTGGGAATCTTGCTCTCTTTCCATTGTAAACTGTAAAAAATGCTACCCAGAAGCTAATCCGAAAGCCACATGGCCCTAGAGGGGTCTGTGGTAAGTAAAGGGAAATGTAGTCTAATATGTAAAATGCATATCCCACTGGCCTCCGCGGCCACCCTGTCTTTAGTTAACAGCATGCCAGGGTAATCTGCTTAGTTACCAAGTGGGGCTTTTTTCCCTCTTCCCCATGAGATCACCCAGACCACGATCAAAGCCCAAACACACTCTCTGCCAGCTCTATTGTTCCCCAGAGTGGGATTAATGACTAATTATGTCAGGTCACTCATCCAGATGGCCTCTCAGATGTTCCTTTGTCATTGTCTGACCTTCCATATGCCCCTTTGACCTTGAGGTTTATTTCCATGGAAACATGAAGCCTCAGTTTCCTTGCTGAGATTGCCAAGAATTGGCCAAAAGGAGGGATACAGGATAATCTACCCATAGTTTGTATTCTGCTTCCATCTCATGCCTTGTTAAATCCAATGAATAGATAAAAAATGCTATCTGGTCCCAGCTGAGTGATGACCATGGTCATGATTCTATGTTACATGCTATGTTTTTTAAATTAGCAGACAGCTTTGTACATGGAAACGTGCATTCAATTTGAAGAACATCAATCGCCATAATGTGATCTTTTTATCTCATTAATGTTAAGCAAGGGTAATAGAATGGAATTACAAAATATCACTGTGAAAGGAATACAATTCAGAGAATTATAGATATCCTCCATTAAAGCCCTAGAGATGTTTGGATAAGTCAACTTGTTCAGTTTCATAAATTAAAGATTCTTTACTCACTACCTTTTCTGGGGTTTAAATTCTAGCCTCAGATGTTGATCTTAATCTGAAGAAGGATTTTAAGGTTGTTAGTAAAATAGAAAAAATTTCCTCAAAACTACCAAATAAGTAAATAAAAATAGAATAGGAGACTGACTCATGAACTCAATTAAATAAAAAAGGCTGGATATGTATTTGCATGGGATAAAATGTATTTCCCTTCATAGTTTAAAGAGGACTAAGGAATAATTTAAATGCCTAAAACAGGGAGGCTAATTCACCTCTTCCAAGTTCATCCAAGAATAAAATGTCTGTCTCTGTACATGAATTCATACAAGCCCAGAGGTCCCACGGAGAATGCAAGCAGAGTGGGAAGTACTCACATGTGCCCAAGTTTCCCTGGCAGGGTGGCAATTTATTAATCTTCCCTCACCAATGGTCAAGAAGCTGCAGATTCCAGCTGAGAGTTTTCGGTGTATTTAAGAAGAAAATTAGAGAGCTAGGTGAAAGAAAGGATTTTGTTCCTTGCATTGTTCTTGAAGGGCCATTTTTGCTTTCAGAATCCAGAAAGGAAGACTGGGTGAAAAGAAAAACTCACCCTGGTTAATGGCAACCAGTCCCCTCCACTCCCCTTCCCAGGGCTCTAAGGCCCTTTGGAAGCAGTGACGGTGCCTTGCTCATTACTAACTACAGTCATCTTTAATACTTCAGTGCCCAGCACAGTGCTTGGCATAATCTAGATTTCTAAGAGCTTGCTGAAGGAGTGAATGTGAGATAAATGTTAGTGCCAGACTAGGTGGACCAGAAAGCTTGATCTTTCTCTTTTTTTTCATTCCAATAACACAGTCAGAAATTGTCTGATTAAAAAACATTTTGTATATGCAAGTTTAGCCTAAAGGAACACAAATTCAACATGTCACAGAGAAATCCTTTCTTTCCACTAAAAGAAGACAACTGTGCTTAAAGAATAGTAACTATACAGTAGATTTCCACAAGGTATAAAAGGACACCATGTTCCTAATCATTTGAGAATGTGGCCAGGAAACTCCTGCCATGTTTCAGACCCCTTGCTCTATGTCTTTGTAATGTCCCCATTCCACATGAGATACTCATTATATCTTCTGGCTGTGTCATCACTACTCCCAGACAAAGATTCTCTCCCTTCTCAGAATAGCACTGCTAGCTACATGGCTAACCAAGAGCCTACACTATGGATGTGGAGTGGTGGCAGGTGACCTGTAGACAGTGGTACTATAAATCTGCTACCTTCCAGATTATTCAATAATGTAATTAAGTGGTGCTTATTATTTCCAATATGTAGAAGAGAGATTCCCCCACCCCCCACTGGGACCATATCTACTGAAGTAATTTTTAAAATTCCCAGGGAGAAATGCTTTGTCTTTCATATGACTCATAGACAAAGAATAATCTTAATAAGAAGTATGTCCCAAATGTTGACATTTCTACTTCAGCAAAATCATTACCTAAACATAATTTCAAATGTCCCATTATCTGAGGCATCAGATCTGACACTTTTCTAGGTCTCAGTTTCCTCATCTGTAAGTCATACAAACGCACCCTGCTAGTCCTTGCAATAACTACAAGTTGAAATAATTCTCTCAACAGGTCTTAGAATCCTTATGTACTGGAACTAAAATACTCATGGTTGCCTAAAAGATTCATGTGAGTCAGCTAGTCTATTAGAATATTACATCAAGGGGGAAATTACTGTATCAAGGAATAAGGAACTGGAGATCAGTATCATCCAAGTATTGCTTGTTTGATATTTATGGTCCTTGTAAATTGCCTTGTAAGTAGTTTTATATCAATGAAAAAAATACTTGTGAAGTATCTATAATGTGTCAGGCACTGGCTTAGTTTCTGGAGATACAATAATGACAATCTCAAGTTGCTCTTAGCCTAGTAAGGAAACTGAGACGTAAACCCAAATGCCTTGGGAAAACATGAGACGACTTCCTGGAGGAAGTGATATCTAAGCTGAGTTGAGCCCTAAATAAGGGCAGACATAGAAAACAGGGGAAGAAAGAGTGAGAAAAAGCATCCAGAAAGAGGGAGCAGTTTATGCCAAATTCTTCAGAAAAACATAGCAGGCCAAATTTAGAGATTTGCAAGTAGTTCCATATGACTGAGGTATGCAGTGATGAAGGTGACGATGGGGAGGTGTACAGGAGTCCCATCATCAGAAGCCTCATCTTAGAGAATCTACAGCAACAAGAGATCGACACAGGCAGTACCAGGGTATCCACAAAAGGAGTGAACTGTCATCAGCTGGAGTGCCTCAGGCCCCTGGTTGGAAATCAAGGGAAGAATTTCAGTCCAGAGAAAGAAAGGGATAACTGGGCCAAGCCAGGGACCCAGTCCTAGAAGGCCTAGATTACTAGGCTTTCCAGGCAGAAACTTGGGCACTCTGAACAAGAAGGCAAAAATTATCATGTGGGGACTGGGTTTTAGGGACAAGGATGGAGCTCAAATCTCACCTACTTCTCCCAGACAAGCACTGGAGGTAACTTGGAGCTGGGTTTCAGAGTGCTGAGCTAGTTTCCTTGTTTTTTTTTGTTTTGTTTTGTTTTTGTTTGTTTGTTTGTTTGGTTTTTCTTTTGAGACGGAATCTCACTCTGTCACCCAGGCTGGAGTGCAGTGGCACGACTATTATTAAAAAGACAAAAAATGACAGATGTCGGTGAGGTGCAGAAAAAAGGGCATTCTTATACACTGCTAGGGGGATGTAAATTAGTTCAGTCACTGTGGAAAGCACTTTGAGATTTCCCAAAGAACTTAAAACAGAACTACCATTCAACCCAGCAATTTCATTACCGGGTATATTCCCAAAGGAATATAAATAATTTTGCCAAAAAGACACATGCACCTGTATGTTCATTGCAGCATGATTCACAATAGCAAAGACATGGAATCAATCTAGATACTCATCAATGGTGGACTGAATAAAGAAAATGTGGTACATATACACCATAGAATGCTATGCATCTATAAAAAAGAATGAAATTATGGCCTTTGTAGCAACATGCATGGAGCTAGAGGCCATTATCCTAAACGAATGAATGCAGGAACAGAAAACCAAATACTGCCTGTTCTCACTTATAAGTGGGAGCTAAACACTGAGTACACATAGACACAAAGAAGGAAACAATAAACACTAGGGCCTACTTGAGGGGGGAGAGTAGGAGGAGGGTAAGGGTCAAAAAAACTACCTATTGGGTACTGTTCTCACCACCTGGGTGATGAACCCATTTGTTCACCAAATCCCAGCAACATGCAATTTACCCATGTACCAAATGTGCACATGTACTGGCAAAACTAAAAAGTTGGAAAAGAAAAAAAAAAAAAAACTCCTTTCCAGAGTGGGGGGATTGAGTGAGGTTGGACAGAGCATAATGAACTCTTGAGAGTCAAGTGAAGGGGGCCATGGCTGTAAAAAGAAGAGAAAGGCAGAGGCAGGGACTTACTAGGTTTGTCTCTTGCAAGAATGTGAGGCAATGGAGCACAGATAGTGGAGATACAGATTGAAATCCTGGATCTGGAGCTGCTTAGCCATGTGATTTTGAGAAAATTACCTTCTTCACCTTTCTATGCCTCCATTTTCTCATGTATAAAATGAGAATAATAATACTTTCTTTGCTGGGTTATTATGTATTAATAAATCAGAAGTAACAGAAGCAAAGTGCCAGGCATCTGGAAGGCAGTCCATGGTGGTAGTAAATAAGCAGTAGTTTTATTATGAGAGTGTGTTAATGATTATTCTCGGCTGGGCGCAGTGGCTCACGCCTGTAATCCCAGCACTTTGGGAGGCCGAGGTAGGTGGATCACCTGAGGTCAGGAGTTCTAGACCAGCCTGGCTAACATGGTGAAACCCTCTCTCTACCATAAATATGAAAATTAGCCAGGTGTGGTGGTGTGCACCTGTGGTCCCAGCTACTCAGGAGGCTGAGGCAGGAGAATCACTTGAACCGGGGAGGTGAAGGTTGCAGTGAGCTGAGATCGCACCATTGCACTCCAGCCTGGGTGACAGAGCAAGACCTTGTCTCAAAAAAAAAAAAAAAAAAAAAAAAAGTTATTCTTTGGGAGATACTGATTGGCCACAGTGGAATATAACTAACAATTATCTTTACACGTTATCTGGATCTCTTTCATAGCATTTTCATCCCACTTTTCACTAGTAATTATGCACATATTGTGATAATTCAGTTACTATTATGTTTTATATTATGCTTTAGCCATTTTACTATCTCCTAGAGTAGATATTACAGCTTTTCATGGGATGGGTGTCTAGTTAACCCCTTTGGGCCTAAAATATGGAGGAATCATAGGGCCATTTGAAAAAGTTGCCTAAGTTATTGGTAGTTAAGTATTTATTTCTCCACTCCTTCAATACTCATTGGGATTTATCAAGTAGCAATTTCATGCCAAGCCATCCCATCCATCACTAATTCCTACTTTTTCTTTTTACCAAAGAAGTTAGGATTTGTTTTTGTTTTGTTTTCTTTCACTAATATTACGGTTCTAAGGAATGATCAGTTTATGAATTTTGGAATGTGCATTTGTTAGATACATCACAAATGCATCTCTGATTTGGCTGTTTAAAGGAAAACAAAGAATGAAAATTGTCTGCCCAGGTACTATCATAAGAACCCAATGGCATGGGAAACCAGTGGTGGGGATAACCTATAATAACTCATAGTCAATGAAGCCCTACCCAGTGCACAGTTCACTGACTCTGCAGCAAGGCATTATTATTGTTTTAGATGCCTTAAATTTGCTCTGTTAGCTTAGAACATAGCCCAGAATAACAGTTTAATGAACTGGCTTTACAAGAGCAGCAGGCCCTATAAGACACAATACCAGATGTGTTTTTCATTCCATTTTTAAGTGATGTCTTTTTGGGGTGGAAGAGATGTTTTCAAGGTTTAATACAATTTTATTAAAGTTTTCTCAATAGTAACTTTTAAATTATATAGGCAAATACTAATTTCATGATAAACTTACTAAGTTAAAAAAACTGATACGAAGTATCCAGGATGATTTTATGTTTGATGCAGTAAGTACAACACTAAAAGTAGTGTAATTACATTCTGCAGAAATGTCACTTATATTAGTCTGTTATCCCACCTTCCATAGCAGGGTAACTTCAACTCTCCTGAGCTGCTCAGACTCTTCTTTGGTACTTTATTTGATTTGCTGTCTAATATAAATAAACTTATTTACTTGTATTTGAGAGGAGATGAAGAAACAGCAGAGAGAATGTTTCAAAAGTCACCTTTAAATACATGAACAGAATAGTTCCTTTATCAAAACTCTTTCTTTCACAGGTTTGCTAAAACCCACGTGCAGATACCTAAAAGTTCAGTATAATGAGTTTCTAGCTGCTATGTATGTAATCAACTTACTAACTTGTTATATCTTTAACAAAATTGCAGGTATCCAATAAATCCACAATAGACTGGATTTCTGCATAACAAAGTCTGCCTCTTTGACATGGAAGCAATTGGATTCTCAGTAGTTATTCACTTTTAAAGTTCTTATTTTGTTAAGATATCAGGTTTGATTAGTGAAAAAGAAAGACCATATTTTAATGGTAACATTTTTGTGTGAAATAAAAACATTCCCTAGAAAAGAAAAAATTATGAATAAATGGTACTCCAAGCCTCAAGCAGAAAAGAATCTGGTGAATTTAACATTGTATATCCTAGAGATGAGTTACACATGACTAGTATGTTTAAGACAAACAGCTTGTTAAATTTCACTACACTCAGTGCTACAGGAAAAAGTTTAGAATGTTTTTTAAACAGTGAACTTCTCAAAGGAAAAGAATTATAAAATGGAAATAATTGGTGATTTGGCAAATAATCTCCAATTTATTTAATATCACACTCTTTGTTTAAATATAAAACACAAACAAAATTTTCATTCATATTTTTTCCTTCAGGAATAAAGATATCAGTGCTAATTCACTACTGATTACCAGGAAATTTTAATATTTTACCGGACAACTTAAAACAAGTGCTGCAATTAAAAATGTGCTTATGAAATGGTGGCTCTTCCCTCCACCTCTTTGTGCCTACTTCTGCAGTCACATCTGCTTTCCTTGCTAAAGAAATAAGCCTGTGGAAAGAAGAGCTTACACAGCTGAGGAAGAAAAGTGCATTCCTTTTTGTCTGGTGCATCATCAAACAACCTGTCAGCTACATTCCAAATGCAGAATCTTTATTTTGCATGATGATTCTAGGAGGCAGAAAGCACAGCTTGGCTGACTGATCCCAGGTGGAGTTTGAAGTGCTGACAGCAAGAGAACTAATGTTTAGATTTATAAACTGAGTGAAGTTGATGTGGAAATCATTGCAAATGAATAAATATAGAGTCTTGCATTATCATTTTTATCAACTCACTTTGCTCACTATAACCCTTTCTATGTAATTACTTGCAATGAATGTGAGTTGTACCTACAACAGACATATGTACCTACAACTGCCACATATGTATGAAATATGTAGCCTCTTCAAGGGAAAGAAACACACCAATTTATTCAGCATACAGATTGCAAATACAAAAGGCAGGCCAGCATCTTATATAACAGGGAAGGAAGAGTTCGTGGCTTGTATAATTCATATCCTTAAATGAGTCAAGGAGTATTCATACCCAGGAGTGAAGATAAAACTGGCATTTTATTGATGGCATTATATATATGTTAAAATTTATATATTTTATATACTAAAAAAGGAAGATAAATAAAAGCTAAATCAAAGAAAAATAAGTTGTTGGTATAGTACTTTACCTTTAATATTGACTGGAGTATATATTAAGCAGAACTATTGAAATTACATTGACATAATAATTAAAAGTGGATTCATTTGAGTGAAAACCTATATTTACTAATATTAATAGTTTTATCCATCAATGGCTATCAACCTTATTATCTGTTATTTATATCTGTTGTTTCCATGAGTTATATGCATTATTTTTTACAAGATTTCCTTATGAATAGTTTTGTATTTTTTATGCCTGGATAAAACCACTGGTGGCCAGATTTCACTAATAGTCCTTTGACGTGAGGAGAGAATCCAGCCATAAAGGACAAAGCTACTCACAGATGCCACTGAATCTCTGCTATCCACACTGTGCCCGATTTTCGCTGCTCTCCTTTGGCACCTGCTGGTTTGGAATGTCAAGGCCAGAGTGCATGATGACAAGTAGAATGAAGTTAGGAGCAGATGCTACCCACTCCTAGCTTTGCTGAAAACATTACTTTCAGGTTATTTGAAGGTGTACCCAAAGGCACTATCCCCACCAAATACACACATAAATGCATGTGTAAAAGAATCGTACCTTCCTTCTGATGCATAGATGTATTAAGCAGTAATATTAATAACATTTTAAATATAAAATTCTATAACTCAGCTAGGATGACATGAGGTTTGATAGATGACACCGTATATATTGAGTACATATGCTTTTTCTTGGCACATTATCAAAGAGTCTCAATACTTTATGAAAGGTATAAAAGAAGTGTATAGCTCTTCCTACTACTTCTAATTAATCCTAGGGCATCATTTTTAAAAATCTTTACAATGGGCATTATGATTCTTTATTTCTAATATAACAAGTCTCAAAAAAGTTTGTACTTACTAAGAAACTATGATAACCAACAAAGTATTAATATAAATAACATTATAAATTACTTATTTTAAAGTAATACAATAACTATGATTCCCTTTCTGGGAATATGAGAATATTTTTATAATTTCTGTTCTCCAGCTGTTAGATGTCTTTCCTGGTTTCAAACCATAAAATCCTACTGGATTTCACGCTGTTGTATTTTAAAAAATGTTATGTCTTAAAGCTTTTCTACAATTTAAAAAAAAGTTGAATGTTTTCAACATTTATTTTATCAATTAAATCTGTGCCTAGACTAAAATAATGTTATGTTTTAAGGCTTCTCTGCAATTAAAAAAAAAGTTGAATTGTTTCAACATTTATGTTATCAATTAAATCTGGGCCTAGACTAAAATGTGGAATGCTTTCAAAATCTAGTATCATCTCTAAATTCTGTCTGATTCTATAGAGATATGTCCAAGACAAATTAAGGATACAGTAGTGAAATGTATTGGGAAAATAATCACTACTAGCCTAACAGGGAAGGCATCATGATTCTTTCCAAGTTTATTTAAGAATGTGACTTTGGACAGACACAAACTTTCAGTGTCTTGGTTGCCCTTGCATAAAGCAAATACCTGATAAAACTACAGCTTTCTTCTTCACAAGGTTAAGCAGAATTTAAATTAAAATACAACATAATTATGAAGCATCGATATCTTTAAACAACTCAATATTTCTCAATCAAGAATCTCTAATAAACAAATAGTGATCAATAACATCATTAAATGCATGCTGGCTGTGCATAAATTAAATATTAATACAAATACACATTATAAAGTTGTGGGTATACCTTTTCTTCTATATGGACAAAGAAAAGAATCTAAATAGATTTGAATTTGAAAACTTTAGAGTTACACTGCAAATAGTCCTAAAATTATAGACAAAATTACCAAGTGTTATTTAATTGAACATTTATTAATATCACTACTTCAAATTGCCTCTTGCCTTTTATCTTTGCAGAAAACAAGTATATATGTGTACATATGTGTGTATTATTTCATTTTAATTTAAAGAAAACTACAAAGTGAATCACATTTCTAAAATATTTCCTTAAAAATGTGGCTCCTATGCATTTTTTGAAATGCAAGATGTTTAACTTTCTCCAGAAACTTGGGCAAAAGCCCAAGTCCAACAGATACGAATATTTGCTATATTTTGATCCTGAGCAAAAAAAATCAACACCAAGTGGTTTAGATGTTTGGTGCTTGGTTGTGTAGATATTTTGAAGCTTGATTTTTTATTTTACAAATAACAATTTTAAAATGGATGTAATTTTGGTGGATATTGTTAATTTTATAATCAACACCTGTCTCTTTGTAAGTGGTCATGAAGATTATGAGAATGACGAGTCCCGTACCTCTGGAGCACTTCAGTAAGAGCCCAGGTGTTCTAGAGCTGTTGCAGAGTGGAGAGTGGTGGGAAGAAGTAGAAAAGATTACAACTGCGAAACAACTGTAGAGCATAATTTCTGCCTCAAAGGGCTTACAATTTGGTGGGGTAAATAAGACAGGTTAGTAAGGATGACCTTGTCAGCCAAAGTAGGGAGCAAATGCCAGGAAAGCTCAGGAGAAGGAGAAAGGACTTGTTAGAGGAGGGATCAGGAGCCACTTTGCTGAGGGGATGGTGTTGGATGCAGACCGTGACGGAGAGAAGGATTTAGACTGAAACAGTTGAAGATCTCAAAATAGGTTGAGAAGAGCAAGCATAGGAAAGGCACATGGGAAAAAAAGATGAAGCAAATTGTTCAAAGGCAGACATTGAGGTCTGGTATTATTCCCACTGTGAAACATATCGGCTGTTTACTCTCTGTCCCGTTCCAGGGATGCCAGCTCTCTTTCTGATTGGTCTTGCCTACACTGTCTCTTTTCCTGATTGGTCTTGCCTACACTGTTTCTTTTCCAGTAGTACAGGAGTATAAACCTGAAATGTTACTTTTGCTTTCTTTGTGTTTAATTTTAGGGCAATAATTTAATGTTTAAGCCAAAAACCTGGAGGTTTCCCTAATTCTTTCCTCATCTTCATCATCCTCCCACAAGATTGATCACCAAGACCTGCTGCTTCCAGCCTCTAAAACTCTCTCAAAATGTCCAACTTTCTTTTTCCCCTCATCCCCTGTTCTAGTCCAAGTCCTCCTCTCTCACTGTATAGAATTTTTCCTAGGTCTCCTCACTCCAAATAATTTCACCCCTTTAATATATTCGCCACATAGCTACCAGAATAATAGACTGAAAATATTATGTTTTCAGGCCATTTCACTTCTCTCACAAAAATTCTAAAATATATAATGGTCCTTGAACTCTTAGATGATCTAACCCCTGCCTACCTCTTCAAGCCACCTTCTCAAAAATTCTCTCCTCCCTTAGTCCACCAGCCCTTTAGGGCTTTGGGCAATTCCCTCAACTGGAAATACTTCTCCCACCTACCATACTCTGCCCCTCCCAACCTGGATGACTGTCCCACATCTTGCAGGTCCCATTTGGGTGTCCATTCTCTTGGGGAAACTTCCTTTGCCCCTGCTTCCTGTACCTGCAGCCTTGGTTGGTCCCTGTGACACTGTCCTACAGAACACTGCATTTCTTTTTCTCATAAAGCTAATCACATTTATGTATTTCGTGTCTTCTAGGTCATGCTTGTTGTGTTGAATGTTTTGCACCCACAGTTAGCACAGCACCTAGCCCAGAGTGGGTACTTAATAAATATAAATTGATTAAATAAATGGAAAACCTAATTGAAATACCAATGCTTTAAATGCTTGGCTGGAATATTTGCGGATTGCATTAAATATACTTGCATGTTTCTAAATTATGTCTTTCTCCAAGTGTTAATTATCTTCAATATAACTACTGAAGTAGTGCTCAAAGTCCGGTATTAATTACCAAATAAACTCAAAATATTCAGTTTTGACAAGCTTTGAAATAGCTGGGGGTTAAGAGTAGAGGGTAGAAATTATCTTTAGTTGGACTTGAAAAGAAATTGGAAATGTACAATCTGGGGAAGCAGAGGTCTTTATGACAGAAGTATTCAAAGACTAGCATGGAAAAGGCATTGCTTTGGAGTAAAAGGAGACACCACAGTTTACAAAACCAAATTAAAGAAAAATTCAAAACTAGAAAAACTTAACAGTGATGCATATGTGGCAAAGATTGGAATTTCCACTTGTTTTAATCTTTAAAAGAAAAAAATAGGCAATTTACATTAACACAGCCTATAATCCAGCATTTTCTCCTTAAACTGCGTCTCTTTTAAATTTTTATTTTACTTAACGTTCTGGGATACATGTGCAGAACGTACAGGTTTGTTACATAGGTATGCATGTGCCATGATGGTTTGCTGCACCTATCAACCCGTCATCTAGGTTTTAAGCCCTGCATGAATTAGGTATTTGTCCTCATGCTCTCCAT